>NC_000005.10:177717117-177867563 GCF_000001405.40 Homo sapiens
CAAAGGTAGAATTTAAGAACAAAGGAATTCTATTTCTATACTTACTAGTCCCAGGTAGACAAACAACACAGCCTTCCTCAGCCTCTACCCGAGTCATTTCAGACGAGTGTGAGCCATGAGAAATCAGAGCTGTTATTTTCGGGTTGAAACTGACACTTTAGGCTACTGTTTTCATTTGCCTGTTGAAAGAATAACTTAGCTGTATTAATCATTTAAATTAAAATTAAACATTTTGAAGGGAAAACATGGGGAGTAGACAACATCTACCTTACTCAAGGAGGCAGGTAATCAATGTAAAAGGAATGAGAAAAATCACCATTGGAACCACGGGTGTAATCAATGTTTCCAAGAGGCTTCGGCAATGATGCTGAAACCAGCTCGTGAAGGTTGCCAGGGACTAAGATGTTCACAGTGCTTTGATGTCTCATCCCACAGATGACTAATAACAAAAGGGAAAAGCTACCCTCACAAGGAGATGTCCAGTTGACACTATCTCAACCAAAATTATTAAACATAGCATCAGCAATCGTGGGACAAACAGACGCAAACATCTCCTGGTGTGAGGCGGTAAGTACACAACACTGCCTAATCTGAATTAGGCATTATTCCCTGTTTAATCTGGATCCACTCATGAGAACACTGTTTAATCTGTATTCTTGCCAAAATGCTCAATCTATTCTAGTCAGGAGAAGAAAAAAGCAACCAGATATATCTAGATTATGGGTCACTCTACAAAACAAAGAGCCTAGATTTTTCAAAATGTTTCATGTATTGAAAGAACTACTCCAAAGTAAAAGAATAGAGAGACGTGACAACCAAAGGCAAGGTTAATCTTTGATTAAACTGTGGATCTAAAACAAAAATAAAGAACATTTTGGAGACAATTAGGTAAATCTGAATATGGGCTGTACATCAAATTACTGTATTATAGTTAGATGGTAGAACTGTAATTACATAGAAATATGTCATTATTCACAAGAGATAAACGCTGAAGTGTTGGGGTAAAACATCATGCTCTTTTCAACTTACTTTCAAATGATTCAGAGAAGAAAGTACTTATGGAAAGAGAAAGAAACTGCAAAAGGTGGCAAATGCTAGCCACTGGTTGATCTGAATGAAGAATATGTAGATGTCCATTGTTTTGCCTTTTAATTTTCTGTAGGCAAGGGAAAGATAGGAAGGAGGGAAGGTGCAGGCATTTCTTATCAATTCATACCTGTAAAAAACAGAGTTAAAAGAAAACCAAAGGCTTAAAATTCATGTAAACATCCAGTGAGATCAACAGTGATTTTCTGTCAAATTTCTGAAAAGCCATTAAGACTGTAACATACCTGACTAGGATCACCTGTAGGTAACTTAAAGTACTTTTTCTGGAGGTTCCAGTCCTTCTACTTCGTATGCTTTATTCCATCATTCCTGGAATTGCCAGTTGTTCGAAATAAACCTCTAAATGATCATCGTAAGACATTTCATCATCAATATCATCCTTTAATAAAATTAAGAAAAAATAAAACAGGCTCTAAGGCAGTGACTAAACAATAAATAATTTGTAATAAAAAGGGCTGAGATATAAATGAGTCAATAAAATTAAGAAAAAATAAAACAGGCTCTAAGGTAGTGACTGAACAATAAATAATTTGTAATAAAAAAGACTAAGACATAAATGAGTCAATAAAATTAAGAAAAAAATAAAGCAGGCCTTAAAGTAGTGACTAAACAATTTGTAATCAAAAATACCCATCAGACATAAATGAGTCAATAAAGTATACAATTTTTTTTTTTGAGATAGAGTCTTGTTCTATTATCCAGACTGAATGCAGTGGTGTGATCTCAGCTCACTGCAATCTTCACCTCCCAGATTCAAGCCATCCTCCCACCTCAGCCTCCCGAGTAACTGGGACTACACGCGTGCACCACCTTGCCTGGATAATTTTTGTATTTTTTTTTGTAGAAATGGGGTTGTCCCATGTTGTCCAGGCTGGTCTTAAACTCCTGGACTCAAGCATTCCACCCACCTTGGCCTACCAAAGTGCTGGGATTACAGGTGTGAGCCACCTCGCCTGGCCTGTTTTTATACTTGACATGAGAAAACTGTTATAACTTCAGTCAATTATAAGTTATTATAAAAAAATATTTAACCTCTTTGAGAGGACAGGACAGAAAGATCCTGACACGTTATCAAAGCTTAGGGTAGGATAAATGTGCCATCACAAATGAATGGGGAAGAGAGCAGGCACTTCAGAAAATGGTGTGGCAAATGGTTACCTCTATCAAAAAAGTACAGACGAGCCTATCCTAAGAGAAGTAAAAGGAAGAAAGGGAGGAGAGAGAGAGAAAGAGAGAAAAAGGGAGGGAGGACACTGCAGAAGGCTTCAATGTTGTAACACCCAGCTCGGCAAGGATAAGATAAACCAAGAGCTCTCAGTCATGGTCTAAGCTGGCACTGGCTTTTATTTATTTATTTTTTTTTCGAGGTGGAGTCTCACTCTGTCACCTAGGCTGGAGTGCAGTGGCGTGATCTCGGCTCACTGCAAGCTCCACCTCCTGGGTTCACACCATTCTCCTGCCTCAGCCTCCTGAGTAGCTGGGACCACAGGCACCTGCCACCACATCGGGCTAACTTTTTGTATTTTTAGTAGAGACGGGGTTTCACCGTGTTAGCCAGGATGGTCTCAATCTCCTGACCTCGTGATCCGCCCGCCTCGGCCTCCCAAAGTGCTGGGATTACAGGCGTGAGCCAGTGCGCCCGGCCTACCTTTTTAGAGGTTAATTTTGCAATTAACATTAAGAGTCTCAAAAACACTCATCACCTTTGACTTAGCCATTTCACCTCCAATAATCTAGCATACTAAAACACTCTAAGATCAGATACATTTAGGTCAATAATTCTTTATCCACCAATTACACAATCCAAAAAAATTTTAAAAACTCTTTTGGCAGCACAAGCTGTCCTCAATAAATGTGATACTATTTGTAGTTTCTATTTATACCACTCAGCTGGCCTTCAAAGCCATGCATACTTTTAATGTAAGTAGCCCCAGCCTACTTCTCTGGGGTTATTTACCAACGCAGCCTCCCACAGATGCTGTAAACCTGACACAGAAAGCCCCTGGCCGTTCCCCAAACACTGCCCACATGCCTCCCAGCAGCGCCTTTGCTGATACTGTTTCTGCTTCCTGACACGCCCTCCTTCTCGCACGTCTAAGGCCTGGCACGGGCCCCATCTCTTTTCGTAAAGCTTCAGCCATACCTGCCTCAGAGGTAAATTTCTGACCCCCATGATTCCCAGGCACATTTTGGTGCTGCTGGTTGTACACAACACAATCTGAAATGTGGTTCTGCATCTCTTCTTTGCACCTGGCTGAGGTCTCAGAGAGCAGAGGCTAAATATTTCATGGCTCCCTCAATTTCTAAACACAGTGCTGTATATTGAGTGGCACCTCTAGGTGACTACTTTGTACCCTAAATGTTAAACTGAGGGATGAGTGAAACAATATCAGGATTAATAAATAAATACATTCTTGAATTCCATCACTTAATAGAAGTGGCCATTTGAATGCTGGCAGGTAGGAAGAAAAGAGGAGGACAAAGAACCCCAAAAGTTGGCATCATAACTACTGCCACAAGAAAGGAGAATCAAGCAGATTGGTAAGGTAAAGACCAGGGACACACAGGTCACTGCAGGACTGAAGAATCTTCCAAGCTTGTCAGTAATGTAAGTTTCTCATTTTCCAATAAACTAGTGTGGCATAGGTCACTGTTTAGAGTCTTGTCTTCAAAATGTTTTCCAGCATCAAGGAAAACAATCTACAAGAAACAAAATGGTGAGAAAAAGCAGCACACTCACGTCTCTGAAGAGCACAGCATAAGGCTACAAAAAGGACCAAGCACCTTCTCAACCTGCAATGTGCTCAGTGTCTGTAAATCACAAGTTAGGTGATGAAGGGCTGGTAGTTTCCCATGAATTAATAACTTTCCTTCTTGCCCCCGTGTTATCTCCCTCACCTGACCCCCGCCAATAAAACATCCTTAAAAGGCTCCTCTCAAATTCCTTGCAAATATTAGGCTCCTCTCAAATTGCTTGCACATGCTTGGAGAAGCTCACAGTGGTTAGTACACTCATACACAACTGAACTTGAGCGACACAAAGCTTACAAGACAGCAAAGACAACAGCAAAGCTGGGCCCAGCAGCCATCACCTAAAGAACTCTTCACTCGTTACATTGGAGCAGGTGATCTCTCTGGAACCAGGAACCACAGAACACTGAAGGACACGGAGCTGGTGGCTAAGGATTCAAGGCCTGCAGTGAAAATGTAACATTTCCCTCCAAGTGCTTATTTCTGCTATAAACTGGTTTAGTTTTGCAATGAACAACTAGATTTCTAACTGATATTCACGTTAATAAACTTTTCTTTTTTAAGACAGGGTCTTGCTCTGTCACCCAGGCTGGAGTGCAGTGGTGCAGTCATGGCTTACTGGAGGCTCAACCTCCTAGGCTCAACCAGTCCTCCTGCCTCAGCCTCCCAAGTAGCTGGGGCTACAGATGGATGCTACCATGCCCAGCTAATTAAAGGATTTTTTTTTTTTTGTAGGGATGAGGTCTCACTATGTTGCCCAGGCTGGTCTTAAACTCCTGGGATCAAGCAATCGTCCTGCTTTGGTCTCCCAAACTGCTGAGATTACAGGTGGTAGCCACTGCACCAGGCCATTAACATTTATATATGTAAAATACATACAGAATGTAAATCACCACAAAACATAAAAATACTCCATATTGATGTAACTTACCATACTATGGATTTGTTTTAAAAATGAGGTAAAAGTCATTAAGAAAATGAAAGCACAAAAGAAGTCTATCAAAATTACAAAAACTTAAAACCGAGTAAACAAAACTTCAGAAAGAATGAAAACAATTGGAAAATAACTTCAAGAAAAAAATGTAAAATGGAAACAATACAAGAACAATTTGTGCCCTCTGAAAAACAGAGGTTAAAGTCAGAATTTTTTTGTTCTTTTTTTTTTTTTTTTGAGACAAAGTCTCACTCTGTAGCCAGGTGCTGGGGTGCAGTGGCATGATCTCGGCTCACCGCAACCTCCGCCTCCTGAGTTCAAGTGATTCTCCTGCCTCAGCCTCCCAAATAGCTGGGACTACAAGAGTGCGCCACCACGCCTAGCTAATTTTTGTATTTTTAGTAGAGACGGGGTTTCACCTTGTTGGCCAGGCTGGTCTTGAACTCCTGACCTCAGGTGATCCACCCGCCTCGGCCTCCCAAAGTGCTGGGATTACAGGCATAAGCCACCACGCCCAGCCAGGAAAGTATTTAAAAACAAATTAAGCAAAGATTATAAAAGTTTTTGGAGTAACACATTTCCCGAAATGATCACGATCCACATCAAGTCTGAGCCATGTTGACATCCCCACGTCGGGGCCCTTCCTGGTGGTCGAGGAATCTGCAACACAGACAGAGGTGCAAGGGTCACTAGAGAGGCACAGAGGTAGAGGGAGGAGGGGCTCCCTGGGATGGGTGTGCAGGTCTCAGAGACCTCCTTGGGCCCTGGAAGGTGACCTGGGGCCCCTGAGCTCCCCACAATCAGGTCTACTCAGATGTCAAGGCACTGAGCCCTGTGTGCTGCTCTCTGCTGAGGAGTTATCTGTCCACAGAGAGTGTGAGTGTCATGGAGGAAGAATGAACCTGGGCGCTCACACGGGCACCTTCAGGGGGCTGGTTCCCCGGAGGGTAAAACAGACACACAGAAACGGAATTTCAAGCATACCA
Organism: Homo sapiens; assembly: GCF_000001405.40. Taxonomy (NCBI): domain Eukaryota; kingdom Metazoa; phylum Chordata; class Mammalia; order Primates; family Hominidae; genus Homo; species Homo sapiens. The sequence goes on from NC_000005.10 coordinate 177,722,896, forward strand.
GGATCAACAGGCAGAGTCCCATGCCCCTGGGCCCTAAGAGGAGCAGGAGGTCTCATGACACAGGGTGGGGGTGGTGACCCTGCCTTGCCACCCAGATCCTCTGTGCCATCCAGACGGAAGAGCTGCACGTTGAATATGCATAGCTTCCTGGAGAAGAGCTGCACGTTGAACATGCATAGCTTCCTGGAGAAGAGCTGCACGTTGAACATGCATAGCTTCCTGGAGAAGAGCTGCACGTTGAACATGCATAGCTTCCTGGAGCATGTCATTGTTATTGCCTAATAAGACCTGGTCTTTCTAGCATCCCCACCGGACCTGTCTTTGCTTTGTAATTTTTAAAATTATGCTTTGGTAAGACACAAATTTCTCATGTTTGTATATTCTAGCATAAAAGGGTTACAGAAGACATACATTTGAAAGTGAAAAACAGTGTATATGTACACACACACACACACACATTCATATGTGTACCTTATTTCAAGATTGGAAAATATATTTAAAAAACAGAGGCTCGCTAAATCATGTCCTCAAACCCTCCCAAGTGAGCATGGCCCTGAAATGTCTTCAAGGGTTTGTTTTGTTGGCATTTGGCCCAAGCCAGTGCCCTCTACATACAGAAGCCTCCAACCTCATCTTGAAAAAGGGGGCCATGAGGCCACCCCAGGCCCCCACAGAGGCTGAAGGACCCCTGGAACTGGAGGCCCCCAGACCCCCCAGAGGCTGAAGGACTCCTGGGACTGGACACATTTCAGTGCTTCTTGGATCCTGCCGTGTCCCCTGCTTGACACCAGGACCTACTGAGGGCCTGCTGGCCTGCAATACTGGGTCGGGTGGGCTGCTCGCTTGTGTGACAAGGAGCCTGGGGGTGCCTCCATCCCTCTCACACCTTTCCCAGGAGGCCTGAACCAGGGGGATTCATGTCAACCCTAGTGTCTCCTCAGGATGAACTAGTGATGCTCCCTGTTGTCCTCAAGGGGCTGGGAAGACAGAGCTAGGTCCCCCCAAATGAGATGTTGGTGAGCTGAAGAGTTACTGCAGACAACACAGTGCAAAGCCCTTGGAGTCCTGCACATGGGGGTGCGACCAGCACCTCAGTGTCTCCCTCACTAAGCAGCCTGTGGAGGGCTCAGCCCAGCAGGCTCAGGGGCTGCTATGGAGTGGGTGTCTGTTTCCTGGAGCATGTTCTCAGGGCATCCTTCACTTGCCTTCAGAGGTCTCTAAAATATATTAAAAATGTCCCAACATTTCAGGACATTCCACCGGCTTTTCTTGCTGGGCTTCCTGGTTTTCTTCTTGGGCTTTCTGGTTTTCCTGATGGGACAACAAGAAAGTGAGCGTAGCCAAGAAGAACATGGGCACGTGCCCACTTCCCTCATCATTCTGCCCACTGCACACTCACACTTCCTCTTCCACTTTGGTCTTTTCTGTTGCTTCTTCTGCAGGTGCAGAGGAAGGACTTGCTGACATCTGTGAGGAAGAGAACAATTGTGCATGTCCAGAGACGCCAGTGCAGGAAAAGACCTATCTGTGAAGGCGGTGTCCAGAGCAGACCCAGATGTCACTGGGGGGTCCCTCCAGCAGGGTGGGGTCCAGCTCTTCTGACCCCAGCCCAGCCCCCTCCCCTGGACCCTGTAGGGTTGTTCAGCAAGATTCAAAGCTGCAACCTGGGGGCCAGTAAACAGGGCAATGCCAAGGCAGTGGGCAGGAGGGCTGGAGAGGGATTTTATCGACACTGAAGACCCGAGGACCTCAACTGTGGGATGAGACCAGGTCCTTCAGGAGAACAATCACAAGAGAGGGAAAGAGGAAAAGGACTAGAGCTAAAAAAGGAGCTCATGAGTCAGAAAGAGGATAAAAGACAGCCAGCATATAAGAGGAGATCAATTACCTGCTGGTGGCTGCCTGTAATGGTGGAGTCTTCCAATTCTGTGAAGCAAGCATCAGAGTGTCCGGAGGAGCAGCGGTGATGGGGTGGCCATAAGAAGGAAAGGGGAGAGTTAGAGTCGAGAGAACCACTCAGACCCCGCTGTCCTGGGGCTGTGGAGCCAACCCCAGAGCCTCTGATGTGCTCATTTCTGGAGCCTTCTCCACAGCCTGTATCATTTCCTCTGTGCTATGAGGGAGGGACCTCTGACTTCCCATGTACTTTCCCAGCCCTCACATTCCATAACTGAGCCAAGGGAGGGGAAGCCGTGTCATTCTGTTCCTCCAAGAGGCAGCGCCCTCTTCACAACGTTGTGCGTGACATGGAGTTCCCTCCCTTCTCCTCCTGTAGGGCCTGTTTCTGTTCCCGCATGAATCCCATTTCCTTTCACCCTGTGGACCTCCACCAGTCCTACTGTTCTCCAAAATAAGAACACTGGAAAGAAGGTCAAGGCTGCACTGCCAGGGCCTCCAATCAACCCACGGATCGCACCCTGGGTCAGCAGCACCTCCCACAGGCCTGGGGTTGTGTTGGGGCCTGCGGGAGGTGATGATGGCCGATGTCACTTATACAGTGACTGTTCTATGCCTGGAGTGACCTTAGAGACTTGGAAAATATTCAGCCCTCAAAAGAATCCCAGCAGCTTCTGAATATTTGGAAACAATGGAACAGAATTCAAGGTAAAGCTCCTTGTCCCAGTTGCCTTAATCTGCAAGTGAGGCCAGCAGTTGCCAGCACAGAAATGAGGGGACCCTCCCAGGGTTTGCCTGAGCTGTGGGAAGACTAGGAGGGAAGGTACCTGGAAGACCTGACACAGAGAACAATCTGGGCCTGACTGGAGTGTGGGGAGAAGGACAAGGCTGCTGAGCCAGAGAGGAGGGTGTGACAAGACAAGTGACTACTGTGCCAGCTGCCCAGAGGCTCTGCCCTGGGCCCAGTGGATTCCAGGGACCAGGCTACAGGGAGGGTGAGAGCCACTGCCTACAGCAACACAGCAGCCCCTCCACACATATCCCTTAGGATTCCTGCCAGCCACAGAGGGCCCTGAGCAACAGCTAGACTTGGGCCTCTCCAGTGAAAGCCAATTTAGGTTTCATTCAAAGCACAGGGATTTGGGATTGGATGGGATTGGGTGAGGAGTGGAGGCCAAAACTGTGCTCAATCATGTGTTCTGCCCTCAGGACTCCAGGATGCTGGGGCACACGTAGGAATCCCAGAGGAAGGATTCCCTGTGTCATCCGACCCAGGGAGCACCCTTAGAGCAGGAGCAGACAGTGAGGACAGGACAGGAAGGTGCTGTTGCAGGTCCCAAGAGTGTAGAGAAAGACAGTGGGCTCCTTTCACCTCCTGGCACACGTATGAAGGACTTTGTCTTCAGGATCACGTAGCGCCTATGTGGGGCTGTGTCCCACCCCACACTCAACTTTACACCTGCATACTCATCTTGTGATCTCTATTCACAAAAAAATGCTACCTCATCAAAACCCAGGGCTCTGGTGCTTACTGTGGCAAAGGCAGGAATGATCTGGTCTTCTGCAAAATGTAATATTTAAACACCAGAGCAAGAAATGATGGTGACATACACAACTCGCACAAAGCCCATGAGAACAAAACTCTTAGGACTTTCTCATTAAGATACAAAAAATCCCAAGTCAGACTTCTACACCTGTTTCATATTTAGTCACTTCACTGATCCCATCCTAGGCTCCAAAATAAGTGTAACCCAATTCCCAAGAACCCTGTCTCACTGGTCAACCCTGGAGTGTTGGTCCCTACCTGACCAGTCTATTTCCTCCTGGATGGATCCAGAGGTGGTGCCCATGAGCCCATGTACAGAGACACAAACATTAGTACTACTGCTCTGTCCACTGTGATTCTCCCTGGGCTCTGTGAACTCAGGGGCCTTTATGAAGGCACTGCTCACAGTTGTGAGCCTTCAGGTAAGACAGAGGACCTGAAATAATCCCTTTCAACTGTTCACCGACACTGGCTCATAGCATCTCTTACCTCCAATCTGAGAACCTGAGATTCCAGCCTTGATGCAAATGCACTGAGTTAGGTGGGTGCAGAGAACAGAACCTGGGCCAGACTCACAGCAGCTGCTTCCCAGGTGATTCTGGGAGAATGGAGATGCTCTCTTAAGAGTAGACTTTTGGCAACTGGGAACTTCTAGCATGGCTCTTGTGAGGAGGTTATGAATTTTTTCATTTATTTTAACATGAATGGGCACATATGCCACTGAGGACCATACTGGAATGCACAGGTCTAAACCCAAAGATGAGGAAGATGTGACTCTCCCCCCTGGTGATTCCTGGCAGAGTGGTTTGCTGCTGTGATCTGATCATTCATGGATGGGTACTTCAGGGGCACAGGAACAAGCTCCAGGCCCCCTGTGAAGTGCAGGGATGCCACAACAAAAATAAAAAAGCCTGGTCCAGCAAAGGAGGACTCGTAAACAGAAAAACAGCCTCTTCTGCAAGGAGAAAAGCTGAACCAAAGTAGCCAGGGTAGAGATGAGGGGGACACTTCATTGACTTCAGGAGCCCACCCTATTCTCCTGTGACCTTGGATCAGAATCCACTAAGGTTTCTAAATTACTATGAGAAACAACAGATTGAAGGAGATGAGCAGGAAGCCTTTTCACACTGGTGCTGGATCTCAGCAAAGGGTTTGGAAGCATTGGAACATTACTGGGGCCCAAGATGGGCTGCCCAGGGCTAAGCTCTGGGATGAGAAGGAACGAGGAGGACATAGTCCTTCCCCTCCGTGACCAGCCATGGCCAGGATTCATCTACACATAAGTAAAGCAAAACAGAGTTTAGGACTAACAATTCCAAGACTATCTCAGAGAAAAGGCAAAGTGATGTCTTATACATCACACAGGAGAGTTGCAAGGACCACCTGGACTCTGGAGCAGCCCCACTCCCTTTGCTGAGTTCACCTTGCACTGAAGCAGGGTCTGTTCTCACCTCCTCTGCAACTAGTGTGGGGCAGGTATCCTGCCTGATGATTATTTCATTAAATACAATAGAATATGCCACTGATTATTGTCTGCTTTTGAAAAGGAGCTGAGGAATGATTTCACCATTCTAGACCAAAAGCCTGAGGACTGTGTGTGTTTTACATTAATGATCACACTAAAGCCCACTGTGCAATGTACCTACTCAAACAAACCCTGGGTTAGCTGACCATTGAGACCATCTGATAACGATAGTGTTTGGGATCTGAATAGCTTTTCATTCTCCCACATGCACACAGAATTGCTGGAATAACTTGGCCTAGCAAGAAATTATACCAGGGCTTTGTGACAAATTCAGTGTACTAGCTCATGGCATTAACCTTCCACTCATCCCCGAGTTCACATGTGCCTCTTGCACTTAAAAGACCAAGAGCTTGGGAAATTCAACTCTGCAGCGTGTCCATCTGAGGACTGGGTATATTAAACTTATCTTCAGGTACAGCTGTGGTGGACGATGAATGGGTTGATTTATGCAAACTGTGCAGTGGTGATGGAATTTTTCTTGGACATTGATCCTCGTGTTGTGCTTTGAACATGGGAGTATGTTTTCTGGGGAAATGCACACACACTCACAAAGACATCCACAATCATTCCATATAGACTCTCTCCTCTGTCCCTCCCAACTCTGATGTACTACCCCACCTTACATGACACTGCTGCTTCCAGGGATGACAGTAGCATGGTTAGAGTACTGGACTCTTAGTTTGTTGGGGTGTTTTTTTTTTTGTTTGTTTTTGTTTTTTTTTTTGAGACGGAGTTTCGCTCGTTGCCCAGGCTGGAGTGCAATGGCACAACCTTGGCTCACCGCAACCTCTACCACCTGGGTTCAGGTGATTCTCCTGCCTTGGCCTCCTGAGTAGCTGGGATTGCAGGCATGTGACACCACACCCAGGTAATTTTGTATTTTTAGGAGCGATGGGGTTTCTCAATGTCAGTCAGGCTGGTCTCAAACTCCTGACCTCTGCTGATCCGCCCGTCTCCGCCTCTCAAGGTGCTGGGATTACAGGCGTGAGCCACTGTGCCCGGTGTGACTCTTAGTAGTTTTTAAACCAAAATTCCCAAATCTCATTTCTGGCAGAAAGCTCAAACCAGAGTGGCCCTTGAGCAAAAGCAGGTGAAGCAGCACTACCTTTACAACACTAAGATTTCACACCTAAACAAAGAGATGATCCCAGAATACGTACGCTTTGCCAGTGTGGCTGGGTCCACCTGCATCTAGAGAAAAAGAAAACACTATGAGGGTCAGACCATGCTGTCTCCTGTGTGCACAGGTCTTCACTTGTTGACGTTAAAAAGCCAGATGGTAAACAGTGGTTGAGACAATGGCCCCGGTATCTAGAAGACATTCCTGGAAAGGCACAGGATTTCTGTGCAACATTTTCAATTGTTTTTCTTTGACAATTCCAAATTCTTCTCAAGAAGAAGGAATTTCTCTTAAGGAAAATGCCTGTTGACACACAGTTTGTAAGTGTGGATGCCATCTGAAACCACTGTTTAGTTGATAATGAACTCTGGCATTTGCCCACCAAGAAATTCTGTCAGTCACCTATAGTGTGTATGGTGAGGTGTATACATCTTAATTCAATTGAAACAGAGAAACCGAGAGAAATAAAATTTCCTTTTCAGAGGAAAGAAGACGACTTTACCATGTGAACCCCTGTGGCTTCCTCAGAGACTGTCTGCTCTGGCACATGCTCCTCCAGGTCTTCCAGGTCACCTAGGAAACAGAGTCGCTATAAGCACATGAGCTCCACTGAGTGAATCCCTCAGGTGGTCTTGGAGCTGTGGACACGGGGCTGGCGTGTGTGGAAAGGTGTGTTCACAGCACAGACTCAGCTGCTGCCGGTCCATCCTCCGTGGTGGAGAGGGAAGGCAAATGGTGAAGGAAGGCACCAGGAAGGCCTCAGAAGACAGAGCCTTGGTCCTCTAGCTACGCCAACCTCTTCGACATGAAAGAGCCCATCTCAAACAGAGCACACCACACAGTGTTTCACTGCAGCATCCAGGACTCCTCCTTCCTAATATGACCTGAGCTAACTTGCCCTCTTATTGATCCCTGCCAAAGTCATTTCCTCCTCACAATCCACTGAGGAGGATGCTGATGTGTTTACCATCCCTTTTAGAGGATTTTGTATGGAATAAGAAGCAACCATTCTTAAAATAGGAGATTTAATTCTAGCCAAAAGATTTTATTACTGACTTTCTGTTACAAGGCAAATAAACCAAGATTTGAAAATAATTATCCTACCATTTAAAGATGACCCCTACTTAGCATGTGGTATTTGTTCTTCCACTCTCCCTTTTCAACAGAATTTGTGTGCACCATGATGTTCACTGCTCCTCATGCTCACACTGACTCCAGCACTGGGACAGCCTGTCATGGGGAGCAGCGAGGGGGTGCGGGGGGCGGGCACTGACCCTCTCCAACCCAGCTGTGCAGGAGATTCCTGCAGGGAAAATGGGTGCCCGGCTAATTCCCAAGTTGAGCCTTGAGATTTTTTTATTGGATGCTATGTCTTGGGATTGGGTTCCACTGAACTTCTAAGACTTGCGGTGGTTATCTCCTTAAATACAATAGAGTATGGCACTGATTATTGTCTGCTTTTGAACAGGAGCTGAGGAATGACCTCAACACTGTAGTCCAAAAGCCTGAGGACTCTGTGTGTTTGACATTAATGGTCACACTAAAGCCCACTGCGCAATGTACCTACTCAAACCCTGGGTTAGCTGACCATTGAGACCATCCAATAACGATAGTCTGTGGGATCTGAATAGGTTTTCATTCTCCCACATGCACACAGAAGTGCTGGGATCAGTTGGCCTAGGAAGAAACTATACAAGGGCTTTGTGACAAATTCAGTGTAGTAGCTCATGCCATTAACCTTCCACTCATCCCCGAGTTCACATGTGCCTCTTCCACTTAAAAGACCAAGAGCTTGGGAAATTCAACTCTGCAGCATGTCCATCTGAGGACTGTGGATATTAAACTTATCTTCAGGTACAGCTGTGGTGGAGGATGAATGGATTGATTTATGGAAACTGTGCAGTGGTGATGGAATTTTTCTTGGACATTGATCCTTGTGTTGTGCTTTGAACATGGGAGTATGTTTTCTGGGGAAATGCACACACACTCGCAAAGACATCCACAATCATTCCATATAGACTCTCTCCTCTGTCCCTCCCAACTCTGATGTACCACCCCACCTTAGATGACACTGCTGCTTCCAGGGATGACAGTAGCATGGTTAGAGTACTGGACTCCCAGTTTGTTGGGTTTTTTTTTTTTTTTTTTTTGAGACAGAGTTTCACTCGTTGCCCAGGCTGAAGTGCAATGGCACAACCTTGGCTCACTGCAACCTCTACCACCTGGGTTCCAGTGATTCTCCTGCCTCAGCCTCCTGAGTAGCTGGGATTACAGGCATGTGACAACACACCCAGGTAATTTTGTATTTTTAGGAGCGATGGGGTTTCTCAATGTCAGTCAGGCTGGTCTCAAACTCCTGACTTCTGCTGATCCGCCCGTCTCCACCTCTCAAGGTGCTGGGATTACAGGCGTGAGCCACTGTGCCCGGTGTGACTCTTAGTAGTTTTTAAACTGAACTTCCCAAATCTCATTTCTGGCAGAAAGCTCAAACCAGAGTGGCCCTTGAGCAAAAGCAGGTGAAGCAGCGCCACCTTTACAACACTAAGATTTCAAACCTAAACAAAGAGAGGATCCCAGAATACGTACTCTTTGCCAGCGTGGCTGGGTCCACCTGCATCTAGAGAAAAAGAAAACACTATGAGGGTCAGACCATGCTGTCTCCTGTGTGCACAGGTCTTCACTTGTTGACATTAAAAAGCCAGATGGTAAACAGTGGTTGAGACAATGGCCCCGGTATCTAGAAGACATTCCTGGAAAGGCACAGGATTTCTGTGCAACATTTTCAATTGTTTCTGTTTGACAATTCCAAATTTTTCTCAAGAAGAAGGCATTTCTCTTAAGGAAAATGCCTCTGACACACAGTTTCTAAGTGTGGATGCCATCTGAAACCATTTTTTAGTTGATAATGAACTCTGGCATTTGCCCACCAAGAAATTCTGTCAATCACCTATAGTGTACATGGTGAGATGTATACATCTTAATTCAATTGAAACAGAGAAACCGAGAGAAATAAAATTTCCTTTTCAGAGGAAAGAAGACGACTTTACCATGTGAACCCCTGTGGCTTCCTCAGAGACTGTCTGCCCTGGCACATGCTCCTCCAGGTCTTCCAGGTCACCTAGGAAACAGAGTCGCTATAAGCACATGAGCTCCACTGAGTGAATCCCTCAGGTGGTCTTGGAGCTGTGGACACGGGGCTGGCGTGTGTGGAAAGGTGTGTTCACAGCACAGACTCAGCTGCTGCCGGTCCATCCTCCATGGTGGAGAGGGAAGGCAAATGGTGAAGGAAGGCACCAGGAAGGTCTCAGAAGACAGAGCCTTGGTCCTCTAGCTATGCCAACCTCTTCGACATGAAAGAGCCCATCTCAAACAGGGCACACCACACAGTGTTTCACTGCAGCCTCCAGGGCTCCTCCTTCCTAATCTGACCTCAGCTAACTTGTCCTCCCTTCTTTATCCCCTCGAGGTCATTTCCTCCCAGGATCCACCTGTCCTGCTGCTGTGTTTTTTGTCCCTCCCAGAACTTGCTTTTTTTTTTTTTTTTTGAGATGGAGTTTCTCTTTTCTTGCCCAGGCTGGAGTATAATGGTGCCATCTCGACCCACCACAACCTGTGCCACCTGGGTTCAAGGGATTCTCCAGTGTCAGCCTCCTGAGTAGCTAGGATTACAGGCATGCATCTCCATGCTTGGCTAATTCTGTATTTTTAGGAGAAACGGGTTTTCTCCATGTTGGTCAGTCTGGTCTCGAACTCTCAACCTCAGGTAATCTGCGCGCCTTGGCCTCCCAAAGTGCTGGGGTTACAGGCGTCAGTCACCATGTCACAACTTTTGTACTAGATAAAAAGCAACCCTTCCTCAAAGAGGAGACTTAATTCTAACTAAAATATCCTATGTATTCACTAACCTTTTGTTTTAAAGAAGACTAAGCCAAGATTTGAAAATACTCAATTATCCTACCATTTAAAGATGACCGCTACTTGGCCCATGGTGTTTGTGCTTCTGCTCTTCCTTTTAACACAGTGTGTGTGTGCCATGGGACCTGCTGCTGCTCATGCTCACACTGGCTCCAGCACTAGGACAGCCCATCATGGGGGCAGCAGGTGGGGGTGCTGAACCTCTCCAACCCAGCTGTGTAGGAGTCCAGCAGAGAAGATGAGGACCAGGGTAACATCCAAGTTTTTCCTTCGGTTCTTATTTGGTGCTGTGTCTTGGGGGTATGTGCTGAACTGCAGCATATGTAAGGCTTGTGGAGATTATGCCATTAAATACAATATAACACACCTGATTATTTTGTGCTTTTGATCAGGACATGAGAAAATAACACAGCACTGCATGAGCCACCCTCCATCATGCTAGGAAGGCAAGTGCTCGCCCTGCCTCTCAGACCCTAGGGCAAACCCCTTGGTTTTCTTTTCATGTTGTAGTTTCTGAGCCGAGCACACAGAAACCATGACTAGGCTGAGGGATACAAGGCTGAAACTCTACATGACCCTGGAATTATCCATTCTGGGCCCCATTATCTTATGGTCAATATGAGACCTCTATGGAGAAAGTTGGGGTGATTTCCCCCTAACCCCGCCTGCAGGCTCCTCTCTTCTCAGTTTCCCAGCAGAACTCGCTGTAGCATGAGGCTGCTCCAGGGTCTAAATGCACAGGAAGAAGCCCTGCCCCACTCTCCCTGCTCAAGATGGGTGGTGGAGGGTCAGTTCTGAGGGCTTTGGTAGAAAAGGCTTGTAAAGGAGGGAAGGGGCTAGAGTGAGGTGTCATGCCATTCTAGTGGCAAGAGGAAATAGAAAGGCCTGTGAAGAGGTGAGGTTTATTAGAAAATAAAGTATAGCAGGGAATTCTGAATGAAAAAATAAAATCAGCAGAGATCCTGACACAGTCCTGTTCTATGGGTGTGCAGTAAGAATTTGCCTGGGTGTGGAGAGGATTTCTTTTAGGTTAATTAAAGTGTCCTGTGCGTGAAATAAACTGTACACTTTGGAAGCTTACAAGTTAATTTTTTCATGTGCCTGCAACAGGACTGCAACGGTGATGGAAATCTCTGTTGAGAATGTGGACACTAGAAAATCCGGGGATATGTAGTACGGAAACCCACACACACACCCCCAGACTCACTGACCACAGCACCACATGAATTCACAAAAGACATGAGCAGGCCCCTTGCACGGGATCCCACCCCACCTTCAGAGAACACAGCTGCTCCCGGGGACTGCAGAATGTGGCCACTGTTTCTTATCTAGAAAACCATTTCTCCCATCACAGTCTAGGTCCTCATTCACAACATGAAGCTCAGCTCAGGCTGCCTGTCTACAGGAAAGCCTGTGAGACAGGGCCACATTCCTCAACATCTGGATTACTCATCAGTATGAGAGGGGTTCCCCAATACGTACCACGTTGTGGAACTCCCAAGGATGTCTGTAACGACAGAAAATAAATTGCTATGAGCATCAGACCATGCTGTGTCCTGTGAGCACAGGACTTTTCTTCACTTAGTGACATTAGAAAACAAGATGGAAAACCCAGTGTTCAAAGGAACCCCAAAGAAGCGAACAAATCAACTCATACTAAAGACACACATTTTTCTCAGAGGATGTTTCCTCTGAAGTCCATGTTGGCTGGCAAGTAGCTGATTTTGCTCCAAAGAGAACAAAATTGGTAAGGCTCACTGTTACACAACAGGTGACTGATGCTGTCATTTTCTCCCACTGTCTTAAATCAAGCCTCAGTGGGGACAGACTCTCACTTACCATTTCCCTCAAGGACACTGTGTAACTAAGATATATATCTTCAGATTCTCATATCTTAATTTAATCCAAATAAGATAAAGCTAAGAAAGCAACAGTTTTTTCTCAGACAAATCCAGTTGGCCTGACCTTCACCTCCTCTGGGTCCTCCTCCTCACCGTTGTAACTGGACAGCTCCTGAAGTACATCCCTGATCAGAACTAGGAGGATACAAAGTGACCATCAGCACCTTGGTGGTGGTGCTCATGAACAATTCAGTAACACTGCTTGAGGTGGGTTTGGGAGGAGGGTAGCAGGCACAGGAGAGATGCAGGAAGAAAGGGAATCAGGGCCTTTGGCTTCCTAGCTCCAGGCCACCTCATAAACATATAATAGCCAATCTCAAACAGTGCACACCACGCAGTGCAGGCTGTGTGTCCCTGGCAGCCTCTTAGGGCTCCTCCTTCCTAATCTGACCTGAGCTAACTTGCCCTCTTATTGATCCCTGACAAAGTCATTTCCTCCTCAGAATCCACATGTGCTGCTGATCTGTTTATCATCCCTTCTAGAAGATTTTGTACGGAATAAGAAGCAACCTTTCTTAAAATAGGAGATTTAATTCTAGCCAAAAGATTTTATTACTAACTTTCTGGTACAAGGCAAATAAACCAAGATTTGAAAATAATTTTCCTACCATTTAAAGATGACCCCTACTTAGCATGTGGTATTTGTTCTTCCACTTTCCCTTTTCAACAGAATTTGTGTGTAGCATGATGTTCACTGCTCCCCATGCTCACACTGACTCCAGCACTGGAGCAGCCTGTCATGGGGAGCAGCGAGGGGGTGCGGGGGGTGGGCACTGACCCTCTCCAATCCAGCTGTGCAGGAGATTCCAGCAGGGAAAATGGGTGCCCGGCTAACACCCAAGTTGAGCCTTGACTTTTTTTTATTGGATTCTATGTCTTGGGATTGGGTTCCACTGAACTTCTAAGACTTGCCGTGATTATCTCATCAAATACAATAGAGTATGGCACTGATTATCGTCTGCTTTTGAACAGGAGCTGAGGAATGACCTCAACGCTGTAGACCAAAAGCCTGAGGACTCTGTGTGTTTTACATTAATGATCACACTAAAGCCCACTGTGCAATGTACCTACTCAAACAAACCCTGGGTTAGATGACCATTGACACCATCTGATAATGATAGTGTTTGGGATCTGAATAGGTTTTCATTCTCCCACATGCACACAGAAGTGCTGGAATAACTTGGCCTAGCAAGAAATTATACCAGGGCTTTGTGACAAATTCAGTGTACTAGCTCATGGCATTAACCTTCCACTCATCCCTGAGTTCACATGTGCCTCTTCCATTTAAAAGACCAAGAGCTTGGGAAATTCAACTCTGCAGCATGTCCATCTGAGGACTGCGGATATTAAACTTATCTTCAGGTACAGCTGTGGTGGAGGATGAATGGGTTGATTTATGCAAACTGTGCAGTGGTGATGGAATTTTTCTTGAACATTGATCCTCATGTTGTGCTTTGCAGATGGGAGTGTGTTTTCTGGGGAAATGCACACACACTCCCAAAGACATCCACAATCATTCCATACAGACTGTCTCCTCTGTCCCTCCCATCCCTGATGTACCACCCCACCTTAGATGACACTGCTGCTTCCAGGGATGACAGTAGCATGGTTAGAGTGGTTTACTGGATCTTAGCATTCTTTTAAACCAAACTTCCCAAATCTCATTTCTGGCAGACAGCTCAAACCAGAGTGGCTCTTGAACAAAGGCAGGCAAAACAGTGCCATCTTTGCAACTCTAATATTTTGAACCTAAACAAAGAGATGATCCCAGAATACGTACATTCGGCCAGTGTGTCTGGGTCCCCCTCCATCTAGAGAAAAACAAAACACTATGAGGATCAGACCAGGCTGTGTCCTGTGTGCACAGGTCTTCTCTTCACTTGTTTATGTTAAAAAAACAGATGGTAAATAGTACTTGAGACAATGGCCCCGATATCTAGAAGACATTCGTGGAAAGGCACAAGATTTTTGTGCAAGATTTTCATTGTTTTTGTTTGACAATTCCAAATTTTTCTCAAGAAGACATTTCTCTTAAGGTAAATGCCTGCTGACACACAGTTTGTAAATGTGGATGCCATCTGAAACCACTCTTTAGTTGATAATGAACGCTGACATTTGCCCACCAAGAAATTCTGTCAGTCACCTATAGTGTACATGGTGAGATGTATACATCTTAATTCAATTGAAACAGAGAAACCGAGAGAAATAAAATTTCCTTTTCAGAGGAAAGAAGACGACTTTACCGTGTGAACTTCTGTGGCTTCCTCAGAGACTGTCTGCCCTGGCCCATGCTCCTCCAGGTCTTCCAGGTCACCTAGGAAACAGAGTCGCTATAAGCACATGAGCTCCACTGAGTGAATCCCTCAGGTGGTCTTGGAGCTGTGGACACGGGGCTGGCGTGTGTGGAAAGGTGTGTTCACAGCACAGACTCAGCTGCTGCCAGTCCATCCTCCATGGTGGAGGGAAGGCAAATGGTGAAGGAAGGCATCAGGAAGGCCTCAGAAGACAGAGCCTTGGGTCCTCTAGCTAAGGCAACCTCTTTGAGATGAAGTAACCCATCTCAAACAGGGCACACCACACAGTGTTTCCCTGGAGCATCGACAGCTTCTCCTTCCTAATCTGACCTGAGCTAACTTGCCCTCCCTTCTTGATCCCCTAGAGGTCATTTCCTCCCCAGGATCCACATGTCCTGCTGCTGTGTATTTTGTCCCTCCTAGATTTATTATTATTATTATTTTTGAGATGGAGTTACTCTCTTCTTGCCCCAGCTGGAGTATAATTGTGCAATCTCAACCCACCACCACCTCTGCCTCCCAGGTTCAAGTGATTCTCCAGCCTCAGCCTCCTGAGTAGCTGGGATTATAGGCATGCATCACCATGCCCAGTTAATTCTGTATTTTTAGGAGAGATGGGTTTTCTCCATGTTGGTCAGCCTGGTTTCGAACGCCTGACCTCAGGTGATCCACCCGTCTTGGCCCCCCAAACTGCTGGAATTACAGGTGTGAGCCACCACGCCTGACCAGAATATTCTGTACTAGAAACAAAGCAACCTTTCTTCAATGAGGAGATTAATTCTATTAAAATATTCTATGTATTCACTAACCTTTTGTTTTAAAGAAGACTAAACCAAGATTTGAAAATACTCAATTATCCTACCATTTAAAGATGACTGCTACTTGGCCCGTGATGTTTGTCCTTCTGCCCTTCCTTTTAACACAGTGTGTGTGTGCCACGGGACCTGCTGCTGCTCATGCTCACACTGGCTCCAGCATTAGGACAGCCCATCACGGGGGCAGCAGGTGGGGGCGCTGAACCTCTCCAACCCAGCTGTATAGAAGAGTCCAGCAGAGAAGATGAGCACCAGGATAACACCCAAGTTTTTCCTTCGGTTCTCATTTGGTGCTGTGTCTTGGGTGTGTGTGCTGAACTGCAGCATATGTAAGGCTTGTGGAGTTTATGCCGTTAAATACAATATAACACGCCTGATTATTTTCTGCTTTGGATCAGGAGATGAGAAAATAACACAGCACTGCAGCCAAAAGCCTGACCTCGCAATGTCTGTTTCCCATGTGTCACCACACCAAAGTCCACTGTAAAATGTACTTATTCCTACACTGAGTTATGTGACCATTGAGACAATCCTACATGAGAGACAGTGTTTGGGATTTCTGAAGGCCATCCAACTTCCATATGCACACATAGGTGCTAAAACTCTCTGGCATAACAACAAATTATACCTGAACCATGTGATTACTTCAGAGTAGTAGCCCATGGCATCAACCTTCCACCCACTCCTGAGTTCACCTCTGCCTCTTGCACTGAGGAGATAAAGCGCTTGGCAAATTCATCTCTGCACTATCTCCAGCTGCGTACTGGGGATATTAAACTGGCCTTCAGCTACAGCTGTGGTGGAGGATAAATGGGCAGAGTGACGTTAAGGTGTGCAGTGGTAATGGAATTTTTATTTACAACACTCATCTTTGTGTTGAGCTGTGCACATGGAAGCATGCTATCTGGAGAAATGTACACATCCTCCCAAAGACATTCATAATCCCTATACATAGACTCTCTTCTTATACCCGCCCCCCACCTTGATGCACCTCATTCGATTTCATAGAATGACACGGCAGCTAACAGAGACTACGTAGGATGGTCACCACTCGTCAGTACACTCTTAGAAATTTCTTCCCAAACCCCATTTTCCAATAGGAAGCTCCAATGAGAGTGGTTCTCCAGAAAACGCAGGCAAGAACGTGTCACCTTTCTCAACACTAAGATTTTTCCTTAGCAAAAAGGTGATCCCAGAATACATACCGTTGGTTTGGGTGCCTGCGTCTGCCTGCGTTTAGAGAAAGAAAAACACCATGAGGGTAAGATCATGCTGTCTCTGTGCACAGGTCTTTTCTAAACTTGGTGCTATTAGAAAACCAGATGGGAAATTCTGGTGGAGGCAATGGCCACAAAAATAAAGCCTAGAGAACACTTGTAGAAAGGCACCAGGTTTTTGTGCAAGATTATTTAAAATTTATTTTGGTTGCAAATTCATAATTCTCAAAAAGGTTTTTCTCCTGAGGACAATGCTTGCTGACATAGTTTGTAACTGAAGCTGTCATCTATGAATGCCATCTTCAATCAGTTCTTAGTTAGTAATGAATTCTCATTTTACATTTTCCCACCAAGAAATTCTGTAAGTCATCTAAAATGTACATGGCAGTAAGATTTTCCTATCTTTATTCAAGTGAAATTGAAAGAAACCTAGGAAAATGAAATTCCCCTTTCAGACAAAAAAAGAACAACTTACATGGGCAACAGTGAGGAGACTCTGATTGGATGCTTCAGGGAGATGTTCTGCTATAAACTCCTCTAGATGATCTAGGAGAAATAGGGTAAGTGTCACTGCATGGATTCCGCTGAGGGAATCCCTCGGGTTGTATTGGGTGGTGTGGACATGAGGCTGGCATGTGTGAAGAAGGTTGGCTACCCCAGACGGAGCCGCAGGCCCTTTCTCCTTGGTGGTGCAGGCAGGCAAATGAGACAACGAGGAAAGCCATGGGAACTAGAGCGTTGGTCCTCTGGCTAACGCAAGCTCATCAATGGCACTCAGCTGATCTCAAAGATGGCACACCATAGGGGCAGGCTGTGCTTCCCTACAACGTCTCAGGTTCCTCCTTCCTAATCTGACCTGAGCTAACTTGCCCTCCCTTTGTGATCCCTTCTGAGGTCATTTCCCCCTCAGGATCCACATGTGCTGCTGCTGTTCATCATCCCTCCTAAAACATTTTGTACTGCATAAAAGCAACCTTTCTTCAAAAAAATTTAACCTTTGGTGATCAAGCCTGGCAACTACTCTGTGTCTGGCCTGACCCTGAAGTCAAAAAAACTTATGACTTCACTGAACCTTTGAGTCAAACAGAATTAAACCAAGATTTGAAAATACTCAATTATCCTACCATTTAAAAATGACCCGCACTTAGCTTATTTGTCCTTCCACTCTTCCTTTTCAACACGATGTATGTGTCCATGGAGTCAGTTGCTGTTCATGCTCACGCTGACTCCAGCACTAGGACAGATCATCATGGGGGGCAGTAGGTGGGGGCGCTAACACTCTCCAAACTAGCTGTGCAGGAAATCCCACTGGGGTGATGGACACCAGAATAACACCCCAATTCTTCCTTGAGCTCTTATTCTGCACTGTGTATTGGATGTGTGGGCTGAATAAGGGCATGTGGAACACTTGTGGCCATCATGTTATTAAACATAGCAGAATATGTCCCTGATTGTTCTCTGCATTTTTTTTTTTTGAGATGAAATCTCACTGTGTTGCCCAGGCTAGAATGCAGTGCCATGATCAAGGCTTAGGTGCAGCAAACCACCATGACACATTTATACCAATGTAACAAAGCTGCATGTTCTACACATGCATCCTAGAATTGCAAGCAAAATAAAAACAATAAAAAGAGTAAACCCAGAATACATACCTTCTGATGGAAAGCATACCCTTTTCTGCAAATAGAGAAAAGAAAAACATTATGAGAGTCAGACCACACTGTGGCCTGTGTGCACAGGTCTTTTCTGCATTGTTGACATTATAGAAAACCCAATGGAAATAGTGAAAATAGTCAACACAAGGGCTCCAAATTAAAGCCTAGAGGGCACGTGGAAAGGCACAAATTTTCTGTGCATGATTTCCAAGTTTATTTTCATTGCATGTTCACCATTAGTTTCAAGAAGGAAGCACTTCTCCTATGGAAAATGCTTACTGCCCTAGAGTTTTTAAGTGAACCTGTCATCTTGAATTCATTCTTGCTGGTAATTGACTCTGACTTTACAGCTGCCCACCAAGACATTCTGTAAGTCATCTATAATGTACATGGTAAGATGATCATCTCTTATCTCAATTTCTATGGAAACTAAGAGAAATAAAATTCCCACCTCAGATAAACAAAAAAGACTTTACCTTCACAGAGCCTGGCAACGTCTCCGAGAGTATCTCGGGTGGACACAATGGCTTGCCCAAGGAGCCTTCGTCACGCTCTAGGAAACACAGAGTAATTGTCAGCACGTTGGGTGCACTGAAGGAATCCGTCAGGCAGACTTGTGTGCTAAAAACACGGGGCTGGCACATGTAGACAAGGGGGGTTAACTACAAAAAAGGACCTCCTGCCAGAACATCCTCCTTGGTGATGAAGAAAGGTCAATGAGACCATCAGGAAACCACGGAAGACAGAGCCTTGGCAGCACAGACATGCACTGCTGATGCCATGGCAGTGTCTCATCATTCCCCTATGCGTTTTGAGGCCTGGGAAATTTCCACTTTCCTGTTGAAATGTGACAATGTCATTTATCTTTCCTGGGTCTACATATGCCTCTCTTGCACTTTCCATTCATTTTATTGAACTTCAGACATTGTTGTGGTAAAACATATACAAAATTTATTATTGTAATCATTCAGTGCACACTTCAGGAACAGACAGACCAGAACCGCAGGGGCAGAGAAGAGAAAACCTCACTGTTTGAGGAGCCCACCCTCTTCTCCCCGACCCTGGATTACAACCCACGCAGGTAACTGGGTAAGTGTGGGAACCCGGAGACTATAGAAAATGAGCAGAAAGTTTTTGCACACTTGTGCTAGATCTCAGAACAGGAATGCAGGCATCGGAACATCACTGGGGCCCAAGATGGGCTGCCCAGAGCTGAGCTCTGGGATGAGAAAGAAGGATGAGGACACAGTCCCTGCCCTCCCAGTGACCAGCCATGGCCAGGATTCCTCCACCTGTGAGTAGGAGACTACAGACTTTGGGACTGATGATTGCAAGGCTGTCTCAGAGAAACTGATCTCTTATGGATCACGCGGGAGGGTTGCAAGGACCACCTAAACTCCAGGGCAGCCCCTCTCCCTTTGTTGAGTTCAGCCTGCCTTAGAGCAAGGTCCCCTCCTCGCCTCCTCCAACACTAGCATTGGGCAGCTGCCCTGCCTTGGAGCTGAGGCTCCCTCCAGTAAAACGGAACTCTGGGCCAGGACACTCTTGGCCAATAGTAGCTACACAAGGACCACCTGTCCAGCGACTCCCAGAAGCTGATCTTTGTCCCAGCCACAGGGTGATCAAGCCTGGCAACTACTCTGTGTCTGGCCTGACCCTGAAGTCCATCCCTAATGATCATGTCCTCTCTGGGCTAAGTTGAACATTTCAGGAACTCACTCCTGTTCTCTGTCTCTCACTAATTTCTGGTGGTGCCATTGCTGTCAACACACAGGGAGATGGAGAAGACAAGAAACAAGAAAGTAGCTCCTCTGTCCAGGCTTTTGGGAAGATGGCCAATGTTCAGGCCAGCCATGAAGTCGGAGCTCAACTCCTCCTTCAGATGAGGCTTGAACATTCCGGCCGTGCCCAGGTGATGTAGAACTGACTCTCCTGATGTTGCACCTTGGCTTCCCTCGTGGCTTTGCTGCCCTCATGCCTTCCTTCTGCTCCTCCAAATCATGTTCCTCTGCAGGCCCAGGCCAAGGCTGTAGCCTGCTGTCTCTCGCATAGAGCCCAACGGGCAGCTGTCTATGAATTTTTAGAGCCCCAATGTTGGTAACACTGATTTGTACCTTTAATCGCTCACAGCAGAAAGCCCCCTGAGTACCACAAGAAACTATATTCTAGAGATTAAAGATGACTAGGGGAATCGGGTTATGAGGGGACAGTGTCTGAGGTTAGTGAAGGACATTTTCAAATCACACCAGCCTGATTGTTTTACAACGTGGGATAAGTAATGACACCTACACAGCAATCAAATTTGATTTATACACAATAAGTTTCCACCAAATGCATACTCCAAGAAAAAACTCAAGCTAAATTTGGCTGAGTTTATATTCCTATTCACCGAAACCAACTGCATTCACTTGTTTTTTTTTTGTTTTGTTTTTTTTTTTTTTGCAACAGCCTTCAGAAACAAACAAGCACCTTTGCCAACAGTCGGTTGAATGGGGACATCGTGGAGCCTCTGCAGTACCACAGCCGAGTTTGCTTTCCCACCTGCAGTGCATGAGCCACCCTCCATCATGCTAGGAAGGCAAGTGCTCGCCCTGCCTCTCAGACCCTAGGGCAAACCCCTTGGTTTTCTTTTCATGTAGTTTCTGAGCCGAGCACACAGAAACCATGACTAGGCTGAGGGATAGAAGGCTGAAACTCTATATGACCCTGGAATTATCCATTCTGGGCCCCATTATCTTATGGTCAATATGAGGCCTCAATGGAGAAAGTTGGGGTGATTTCACCCCAACCCCACCTGCAGGCTCCTCTCTTCTCAGTTTCCCAGCAGAACTCGCTGTAGCATGAGGCTGCTCCAGGGTCTAAATGCACAGGAAGAAGCCCTGCCCCACTCTCCCTGCTCAAGATGGGTGGTGGAGGGTCAATTCTGAGGGCTTTGGTAGATAAAAGGCTTGTAAAGGAGGGAAGGGGCTAGAGTGAGGTGTCATGACCACTCCAGTGGCAGAGGAAATAGAAAGGCCTGTGAAGAGGTGAGGTTTATTAGAAAATAAAGTATAGCAGGGAATTCTGAATGAAAAAATAAAATCAGCAGAGATTCTGACACAGTCCTGTTCTATGGGTGTGCAGTAAGAATTTGCCTTTGTGTTGACAGGATTTCTTTTAGGTTTATTGAAGTGCCCTGTGCATGAAATAAACTGCAAACATTGGAAGCTTACAAGTTAATCTTTTTTTGTGCCTACAATAGGACCGCAATGGTGACGGAAATCTCTGTTGAGAATGTGGACACTAGAAACTCTGGGGATATGTAGTATGGAAACCCACACACCCGCCCGCCAGACACACGGACCATGGCACCACATGAATTCACAAAAGACATGGCAGGCCCCTTGCACGGGATCCCACCCCACCTTCAGAGAACACAGTTGTTCCCGGGGACTGCAGAATGTGGCCACTGTTTCTTATCTAGAAAAACCATTTCTCCCATCACAGTCTAGGTCCTCATTCACAACATGAAGCTCAGCTCAGGCTGCCTGTCTACAGGAAAGCCTGTGAGACAGGGCCACATTCCTCAACATCTAGATTACTCATCAGTATGAGAGGGGTTCCCCAATACGTACCACATTGTGGAACTCCCAAGGATGTCTGTAACGACAGAAAATAAATTGCTATGAGCATCAGACCATGCTGTGTCCTGTGAGCACAGGACTTTTCTTCACTTAGTGACATTAGAAAACAAGATGGAAAAACCAGTGTTCAAAGGAACCCCAAAGAAGAACAGAGCAAATCAACTCATACTAAAGACACAAATTTTTCTCAGAGGATATTTCCTCTCAAGTCCATGTTGGTTGGCAAGTAACTGATTTTGCTCCAAAGAGAGAACAAAATTAGTAAGGCAAAAGCTCCCTGCCCCACAATGTGTGACTGATGCTGTCATTTTCTCCCACTGTTTTAAATCAAGCCTCAGTGGGGACAGACTCTCACTTACAATTCCCCCCAAGGACACTGTGTAACTAAGATACATATTGTCAGAGTCTCATATCTTAATGTAATCCAAATAAGATAAAGCTAAGAAAGCAACAGTTTTTTCTCAGACAAATCCAGGTGGCCTGACCTTCATCGCCTCTTGGTACTTCTTCCATGTGCTGTATAGGTGGAGCTCCCGTAGTCGCCGTAGTTGCCGTTTCATCTCAACTAGGAGGATACAGAGTGACCGTCAGCACCTTGGTGGTGGCGCTCATGAACAATTCAGTAACACTGCTTGAGGTGGGCTTGGGAGGAGGGTAGCAGGCACAGGAGAGATGCAGGAAGAAAGGGAATCAGGGCCTTTGGCTTCCTAGCTCCAGGCCGCCTCATAAACATATAATAGCCAATCTCAAACAGTGCACACCAGCAGTGCAGGCTGTGTGTCCCTGGCAGCCTCTTAGGGCTCCTCCTTCCTAATCTGACCTGAGCTAACTTGCCCTCTTATTGATCCCTGCCAAAGTCATTTCCTCCTCAGAATCCACATGTGCTGCTGATCTGTTTATCATCCCTTCTAGAAGATTTTGTACTAAACAAGAAGTAACCTTTCTTAAAATAGGAGATTTAATTCTAGCCAAAAGATTTTATTACTAACTTTCTGTTACAAGGCAAATAAACAGAGATTTGAAAATACTCTATTATCCTACCATTTAACGATGACCCCTACTTAGCATGTGATATTTGTTCTTCCGCTCTTCCTTTTCAACACCATGTGTGTGCACCATGGAGTTCACTGCTGCTCATGCTCACACTGACTCCAGCACAGAGACAGTCTGTCATGGGGAGCAGCGAGGCGGGGCAAGGGGTGGGCACTGACCCTCTCCAACCCAGCTGTGCAGAGATTCCAGCAGGGAAAATGGGTGCCAGGCTAACACCCAAGTTGAGTCTTGAGATTTTATTGGATGCTATGTGTTGGGATTGGTTTCCACTGAATTTCTAAGACTTGCGGTGATTATCTCCTTAAATACAATAGAGTATGTCACTGATTATTGTCTGCTTTTGAACAGGAGCTGAGGAATGACCTCAACGCTGTAGACCAAAAGCCTGAGGACTCTGTGTGTTTTACATTAATGATCACACTAAAGCCCACTGTGCAATGTACCTACTCAAACAAACCCTGGGTTAGCTGACCATTGAGACCATCCGATAATGATAGTGTTTGGGATCTGAATAGGTTTTCATTCTTCCAGCACACAGAAGTGCTGGAATAACTTGGCCTAGCAAGAAATTATACCAGGGCTTTGTGACAAATTCAGTGTAGTAGCCCATGGCATTAACCTTCCACTCATTCCCGAGTTCACATGTGCCTCTTCCATTTAAAAGACCAAGAGCTTGGGAAATTCAACTCTGCAGCATGTCCATCCGAGGACTGGGGATATTAAACTTATCTTCAGGTACAGCTGTGGTGGACGATGAATGGGTAGCTGAGTAGCTGGTATTACAGACATGTGCTCCCTGAGTAGCTGGTATTAAAGACATGTGCTTCCTGAGTAGCTGGTATTAGAGACATGTGCTCCCATGCCCAGCTAATTTTGTATTTTTAGTAGAGATGGGGTTTCTCCATGTTGATCAGGCTGGTCTTGAACTCCTGACCTTAGGTAATCCACCCTCCTTGGCCTCCCAAAGCACTGGGATTACAGGCATGAGCCACCGTCTCCAGCCAGAACATTTTGTACGAGGTAAAAAGCAACCTTTCTTCAAAGAGGTGATATAATTCTAGCCAAAATATTCTACATATTCACTAACCTTTTGTTTCAAAGAAGACTAAACCAAGATTTGAAAATACTCAATTATCCTACCATTTAAAGATGACCTCTACTTAGCCTGTGATATTTGTCCTTCTGCTCTTTCTTTTAACACTGTGTGTGTGTGTCATGGGGCCCGCTGTTGCTCATACTCACACTGGCTCCAGGAATGGGACAGCCCTTCATGGGTGACAGCAGGTGGGGGCGCTGACCCTCTGTTACCCAGCTGTGCAGAGATTCCAGCAGACGAGATGGGCACCAGGCTAACAGCCAATTGGCTCTGTGAGATCTTGTTGGGTGCTGTGTCTTGGGTATGTGTGCTACTGAATTGGAGCATTTCTAACGTTTGTGGTGATGATCTCATTAAATATAATAGAATATATCTCTGAATGTTCTCTGCCCTTGACCAGGAACTGAGGAATACCCCATCACTTAAGACCAAAGGCCTGGCAGCTCCCTCTGTATGTTTCATATTAATGACCGCACCCAAGTTCACTGTACAATGAACCTACTCAAACTCTGGGTCAGCTGACCATTGAGACCATTCTATTGTGGTATACAGTGCTGGAGATCTTTATAGGCCAACATACTTCCACATACACATAGATGCTAAGGACTCTCTGACATGGTGACAAGTTACACCAGGGCCATGTTATAACTTCAGACTAGTAGCCCACAGCATCACCCTTCCACCCATTCCTGAGTTCATCTATGCCATTTCCATTTAGGAGACCAAAAGCCTGAAAAATTCATCTCTACATCATCTCCATGTGAGGACTTGGGATATTAAACTTACCTTCAGCTACAGCTGTGGTGAGGAATGAATGGGTTGATTTTTTGCAAAAATGCAGTGGTGATCAAATTTTGTTTCTAGAATATCAATCTTTGTGTTGTGCTTTGCATATGGGAACGTATTTTCTGGGGAAAAGCACACAAACTCGCAGAGACATTCACAATCATTCCACATTGAGTCATTCCTCCATACCTCCCAACTCTGATTCACAACACCCTCTTCTATCCAAATGACCCTGTTCCTTCCAAGCACCAGAGTCAACAGTCACATTTCTTGACCAGGTTCTTCACTTGTCAAGACAAAAGTGCTTGAACCACATTTCTGGCAGGAAGTTCAAACCAGAGTGGCTCTCCAGAAAAAATGAGGCAAGAAAGTGTCACCTTTGTCAACACTAGAATTTTTCCTCAGCATAGGGGTGATTCCAGAATACGTACTGTCTCTCTCTGTGTCTTTGTCCACCTGCATTTAGAGAAAAACAAAACACTACAAGGGTCAGACCATGCTGTGTCCTGTGTGCACAGGTTTTCCTTTTCCCTCCCTCCCTTCCTTCTTTTCTCTTTCTTTCTTTCCTTTCTTTTCTTTCTTTTTCTTTCTTTCTCTTTTTCTCTTTCCTTCCTTCTTTCTTTCCCTTCCTTCTTTCTCTTCCTTCTTCCCTTCCCTTCTTCCTTCCTTCCTGCCTCTCTCTCTCTCTCTCTCTCTCTCCCCTACTCCCTCTCTCCCTTTCTTTGCTGGAATTTCGCTCTGTCACCCAGGCTGGAGTACAGTGTCATGATCATGGCTCACTGCAACATCCGCCTCCTGGCCTCAAGCGATCCTGCTCCCTTAGCCTCCCCAGTAGCTGAGATTACAGTAGCCGGTCAGCATGCCCAGCTAATTTTTGTATTTTTAGTAGAGATGGGGTTTCACCATACAAGTCTTTTCTTTACTTGGTGACATTAGAAAAGCAGATGGGAGACAGTGGTTGAGGCAATGGTCCTAAAGCCTCGAAGACACTTCTGGAAAGGCACAAGATTTTTATGCAAGACTTTCAAGATTGTTTTGGTTGTATAGTCACAATGTTGTAAGAAGAAAGCTTTTCCCCTAACAAAAATTCTTTCTGCCATACAGTTCATAACTGAAGGTGTCATCTAAGAATGCCATCTGAGATCATTTCTTACCTGGTAATGACCCTCACATTTTCCCACCAAAATATTCTGTAAGTCATCTATAATGTACATGGTAAGATTTTCATATCTCAATTCAAATAAAATAAAAAAGAACCAAGAGCAACAAAATTTCCATCTCAGAAACATAAAGAAGAACTTACCATATGAACGCCCAGGACATCTTCAGATGAAGCTTCCTGCACCAGGTCCTCATCGTAATCTAGGAAACACAGAGTAACTGTCATCATGTTGGTTCCACTGAAGGAATCCCTTAGGCAACCTTGGATGCTAAGGACAGGGGGCTGGCATGTGTAAAGGAGGTGGGTTAAGGGTAGAAACTTGGCTTCCACTGGGACACCCTCCTGGGTGATGAGGGAAGGCAAATGAGACCATCAGGAAGCCACAGAAGTCAGGACCTGGTTCTCTGGCTAAGCCCCCACACCACTGCGAAAAAGGCAGAGTTCACACAGGGTGGCACACAAATGCACTGCTGATTTCATGACAGTGTCCCATCACCCCCTTGTGCATTTTGAGGCCCGGTAAATTTCTTTTGTTGTTGAAATGTTATAATGTCATTTATCTTTCCTTGATCTACATATGCTCCTCCTGTACTTATCATCCATTTAATTGGCTTTAAAATCAGTATTGTGGCCAAAATACATCGTATTTATTATTTTAATAATCAAGTGCACACTTCAGGGGCATCAGTGCCATTCACAATTCTGTGCAGTAAACTAAATGTAATCCAAATCCAGATGTCTTACTTCCCACCTTAGGAAACTAGAGAAAAAAGTATAGTGTAATGTAAACCAGGCAACCCTCCTCCCCCAAAATATAACAATATTTGCAGAAATCAATGTAATAGAAATAATAAAATAAAGAAACTCAACAAAACCAAAAGCTGCTTCTTAGAAAAGATCAATAGAATTGGTAAACCTCCAGCAAGGCTAATCACAAAGAAAATAGAGAAGACACGATGTACAAACAATATGAATAGAAGAGGAATTATCCTTGCTGATCCCATAATCATTAAGAAAATAATAACAGAATACTTTCAACAAATCTATGCCTGCAATTTTTTAAGTGCAGGAGTGAAAGTCTATTGAAATGTTTGAGAGTAGGAATGACAGGAAGCACAGCAGCCTTTGATGAGAACCAAGCAGGCAACTTGTCAGATTCAAGTGTCTATACCCACAAATTTCCTAGCTTAGATGAAATGGACAAATGCCTTCAAAGGGAGAAACTACCATAACCACCCAAAGGAGAGATAGATAATCTGAGTAGGCCTCTATCATTATAGAATTTAATCAGGAAGTAATAACTTAAAAAAAAAATGCCCACATAATTGTACTGGTGAATTCTGCCTAACACAATGGAAAACATAGTCTTACCAGCAAGTGATCAAAATTCTACATATTTACCCAGCTAAATTAGAAAATTATGTTCATCTTAAAATCTGCACAAGAATGTGGGCAGCTTTATTCATAATTACCCAAATTGGAAGCAGCTCAGATGGTCTTCAGGCAGTGAGTGAACCAACTAACCCTGTTCGATGAAACCAATGGACTATTGTTCACTGATAAGAATTATTAAGCTGTTAAGCTTCAAAACGATACAAAAGATCTTACATGTATATTGCTAAGTAAAATAAGTTAGTTATACGTAGCTACATACTCTATGATTCCAACTCTATAAAATTCTGGAAAAGGAAACCTATAGAGGCAGTAAAAATCATCCATAGTTGTCAGGAATCCTCAGAAAAGGAGAGGAATTAGTAGATGCAGCTCAGGTCATGTTTAGGATGTGAAATTATTCCGTCAGGGTGACAAAAGACATTGTCAGTTTGTCAAAACCCATAGGCTGGACAACACAGAGTGAACCTTGATGCTAACCCTAGATTTCTGTTCATAAGAATGTATCACTATTGGCTCAGTCACTGATGCTAACCTTGGACTTCTGTTCATAAGAATGTATCACTATTGGCTCAGTCATTGTTACGAGCGTTATCACACTCACAAAGATGGGATCACCAAAAAACACTGAGGAAGGTGGGTATATGGAAATTTTTGTTGCCACTTCCTCCATTTTTCGGTTACTTCCAAACAGTTTGAAGTGATGTCCATTACTTTACAAACCTGGCAACACTGTCTCAGAAAAAGATCCTTTTTAATTAATGTTTTAACAATCAGCAAAATGTCTACAATTTGCACTGAGATGTTATTTACTATTAAAAGTAAACCCAAATCTGGAATGGAAATACACCTTTACTCCTCTGGTTGTAGCACTAGTGATTGACTTAACACATTTAAATATGCACACATGAAATAAAGAATATAGCATCGCAATTTTATAATTGTCTGAAATATGAGACACTGAAGAATCTAGAAATCATATCATGAATGAACTGAATGACTGAATTTCCACAACACCTTCCATTGATGCAATTCTAGGGTATATATGGCCGGGATGCCAGTGATACCAGTGATAGGTGATTGGCTTCTCACGCTCGCGGTGGCAGACGGTGGATTCCCCTGGCATCCTAGGATACACTATTTCATCCTCGCCACAACACACTGGGAAATGAATTAAAATAAAGACAGGTGTTGGTGTCTTGCCGCAAAAGATCAGAGAAATGAGTAATTATTTATTCACAGCTTAAATGTTTGATTCCATTGTTCATCATCTGCAGAGCAAAGCCCCCTGAATCTGAGTTGGGCTTCAGAAAGACTTGCACTGTGGGTTGCACGTATAAGTGTGCAGGCAAATGCCTGTATTGAGATGAGACATTACAGAAAGGTAGTAGATTGGAGTGACCAAGAGCATAGGGTCCGGAGCATAGGATCTGAGCTCAGGGACTTCTGAGAAGCTGCTAGAACCTGAGGAAGTTCTATAGATCCCTCTGTGCCTCCTAATGGCCTACGTTATGTTAAAAGGGTAAGAAGAGTTAAATGGACCTAAAGCCTTAAAACGGGTGCTTCCTAAGTGCCACAAAGTGTTCAATTATTTCATGTCTGGAAGAATAAGCCAGGCCCTTGGTAGTGGTTAATAGAGAAGCCACTTGGGGGACTCCAGGGCAGTGGAGGCTAAAATTCTTTTCATTCTTGACATGGGTCTCATGCTTTAGAACTCGTGAAAAGTTTTTGTTTGAATTTCCTGTGATGCCCACATCGGCCCAGAGAGATGGGCAGAGCAGGGGCTGCCACTCAGAGTTGACGGTTCAGGGAAGTGAAATGAAGAGATTTGAAGCGACCTGCCTAGGGTCACAACACTGACGAATGATAGATCTGCGACAAGAATTTGGTTGGTTTTCTGGGGACAGAGATCCCTGAATACCTGAGGCCTCTAAATCATGGCCTGGACCCTGAACCTGGAGCTCTTTCCACGCCCTTTCTCAATCCTCCTGCACCAAGGGCTCTTCAGGAAGGTTGATGTATTTGGAAGAGGTGGTGAGTCCAGAAAAAAGCCAAATCATTTAACAAAACAAAACTCCTGTCTCTAGGTTTTAACTCCTGGGCTAAAATATGGCACTTTCCCGCAAACGAAGCCTCTCTGAGGAACAAATTCAAATGTCTGGTCATCCTACCCATTGCCCTGTATTGTCAGCTGTCTGGCAGTGAGCACCCCTCCATGACCAACTGACCACAGCAAGGGACCAAGTTCTGCTTGGCCCCCAAGGTAGTTCGGAACTTAGGACATTCCAAACTAACTACCACTTGATGGCTGTGCCAAGAATAAACTTCCCTTCAACTGAACCATTCTGAAGAAGCAATTAATGGGAATTAACTGAAAATGTGGCCCCCCAGTGGATTTTTCAGCAGTTTATTCTGTATCTAGTCTATGAAAGAGTGTGTGTGGCGGGGGAGGCCGGGTGTGGTGGCTCACACCTGTATCCCAGCACTTTGGGAGGCCAAGGTGGGCAGATCACAAGGTCAGGAGTTCAAGACCAGCCTGGTCAATATGGTGAAACCCTGTCTCTACTAAAAATACAAAAATTAGCCAGGCATGGTGGCAGGCACCCGTAGTCCCAGCTACTTGGGAGGCTGAGGCAGGAGAATCGCTTGAACCTGGGATGCAGAGGTTGCAAAGAGCTGAGATTGTGCCACTGCACTCCAGCCTGGGTGACAGAATGAGACTCTGCCAAAAAAAAAAAAAAAAAAAAAAAAGAAAAGTCCAGGCACTGTGGCTCATGCCTGTAATCCCATCACTTTGGGAGGCCAAGGAAGGTGGATCAGGAGGTCAGGAGTTCAAGACCTCCCTTGCCAACATGGTAAAACCCTGTCTCTACTAAACATACGAAAATTAGCCAGGCGTGGTGGCGGATGCCTGTAATCCCAGCTACTCAGGAGGCTGAGGCAGGAGAATTGCTTAAACCTGGGAGGTGGAGGTTGCTGTGAGTCATTATCACACCACTGCATTCTAGCCTAGGCAACAGAGCAAGACTCTTCACTCTTCCAAAAAAAAAAAAAAAAATTGGCATTGGAAACAGTGTATTTTCTAGAGAAAAGTATTTGAGGCAAAAATCTTGATAGAAGAATAAAAAAACACAAATTGAGTAATAAAACTCTGAAACATATTTATAAATCTGTAGACAAATAGGAGCTGGGGAAATTAAAAAAATCAGAATGACATTTAACATACAGGAAAACTGGCTCATCTGAAGAAATTGCAGTCAGAAGATGGAAATGAACATACATACCTTCAAGGCAACAACTATAAACACATCCCATTGTGAGTCCTCTGAGACAACTAAGCTGCGTTTACTGCCAACGTTCAGTTGCCAGAATGGCAGTTAAAATGAAAGGCAAGACCTATATCATCAGATCACCTCAGCAACAGGTCACAGTAGAATTTTCGCAAGCATCCATGTCACAATATGGGGCCCAACTGCTGTGATCTAGACCAGTCCATTGTCACATCGACAAGGGGTCACTTACACTCCATGTTTCATTTCAAAAACTGAATCTCAGACACACAGTATTATTCTATGTGTATGAAACAAACATTAAAGGAGGAAAAAGATTTGCCTCTCAAATATATTTGATAGTGAAAATTTCAGGGTAAAAATAAGAAAAGCTAATACATTGAGAATAAAGGGAGATTCCAGGCTTGATGTGAAATGCCTTCCCCACCAATTTCTACTATTCCTGAGTCACCAGAGAGTCCTAGCTTCAACAATTCTAAACTAGCTCCAAATTACATTTAAAATGCATTAGTGTAACTTCAATTTTAAAGCCAATCTCTAACAATATAATTCATAGTAATAAAAAAAGATATGATTCAGTACAACTTTCCATCACTGTTGATTCATCACAAGTTTTAAGAACTATTAAATCAAATGGGTCATTAATGAGGCACAAAAACTGCATTAATAGGGGGTGGAGCCAAGATGGCCGAATAGAAACAGCTCCAGTCTGCAGCTCCCAGCGTGAGTGATGCAGAATACGAAGGATTTCTGCATTTCCAACTGAGGTATCAGGCTCACCTCATTGGGGATTGTCGGACAGTGGGTGCAGGACAGTGGGTGCAGTGCACCAAGTGTGAGCCGAAGCAGGGCAAGGCATTGCCTCACCCAGGAAGTGCAAAGGGTCAGGGAATTCCCTCCCCTAGCCAAGGAAAGGGATGACAGGCTGCACCTGGAAAATCAGGTCACTCCCACCCTAATACTGCGCTTTTCCAATGGTCTTAGCCAACGGCACACCAGGAGATTATATCCTGCACCTGGCTCGGAGGGTCCTATGCCCATGGAGCCTCGCTCATTGCTAGCACAGCAGTCTGAGATCAAACTGCAAGGCTGAAGCGAGGCTGGGGTAGGGGCGCCCGCCATTGCCCAGGCTTGAGTAGGTAAACAAAGTGGCTGGGAAGCTCTAACTGGGTGGAGCCCACCGCAGCTCAAGGAGGCCTGCCTGCCTCTGTAGACTCCACCTCTGGGGGCAGGGCATAGCCAAACAAAAGGCAGCAGAAACCTCTGCAGACTTAAATGTCCCTGTCTGACAGCTTTGAAGAGAGTAGTGGTTCTCCCGGCACACAGTTTGAGATCTGAGAACTGACAGACTGCCTCCTCAAGTGGGTCCCTGACCCCCAAGTAGCCTAACTGGGAGGCACCACCCAGTAGGGGCAGACTGACACCTCACATGGCCGGCTACTCCTCTGACACAAAACTTCCAGAGGAACAATCAGGCAGCATCATTTGCTGTTCCTCAATATTCGCTGTTCTGCAGCCTCCACTGCTGACACCCAGGCAAACAAGGTCCGGAGTGGACCTCCAGCAAACTCCAACAGACCTTCAGCTGAGGGTCCTGGCTGTTAGAAGGATAACTAACAAACAGAGAAAGGACATCCACACCAAAACCCCATCTGTATGTCACCATCATCAAAGACCAAGGGCAGATAAAACCACAAAGATGGGGAAAAACAGAGCAGAAAAACTCAAAATTCTAAAAATCAGAGTGCCTCTCCTCCTCCAAAGGAACGCAGCTCCTCACCAGTAACGGGACAAAGCTGGATGGAGGATGACTTTGACGAGTAGAGAAGAAGGATTCAGATGATCAAACTTCTCTGAGCTAAAGGAGGAAGTTCAAACCAATGGCAAAGAAGTTAAAAACCTTGAAAAAAGATTAAATGAATGGCTAACTAGAATAACCAATGCAGAGAAGTCCTTAAATGACCTGATGGAGCTGAAAACCATGGCATGAGAACTATGTGACAAATGCACAAGCCTCAGTAGTCGATTCGATCAACTAGAAGAAAGGGTATCAGTGATGGAAAATCAAATGAATGAAATGAAGCGAGAAGAGAAGTTTAGAGAAAAAAGAATAAAAAGAAACAAACAAAGCCTCCAAGAAATATGGGACTATGTGAAAAGACCAAATCTATGTCTGATTGGTATACCTGAAAGTGATGGGGAGAATGGAACCAAGTTGGAAAACACTCTGCAGGATATTATCCAGGAGAACTTCCCCAATCGAGCAAGGCAGGCCAACATTCAAATTCAGGAAATACAGAGAGTGCCACAAACATACTCCTCGAGAAGAGGAACTCCAAGACACATAATTGTCAGATTCACCAAAGCTGAAATGAAGGAAAAAATGTTAAGGGCAGCCAGAGACAAAGGTCGGGTTACCCACAAAGGGAAGCCCATCAGACTAACAGCTGATCTCTTGGCATAAACTCCACAAGCCAGAAGAGAGTGGGGGCCAATATTCAACATTCTTAAAGAAAAGAATTTTCAACCCAGAATTTCATATCCAGCCAAACTAAGCTTCATAAGTGAAGGAGAAATAAAATCCTTTACAGACAAGCAAATGCTGAGAGATTTTGTCACCACCAGGCCTGCCCTACAAGAGCTCCTAAAGGAAGCACTAAATATGGAAAGGAACAACCGGTACCAGCCACTGTAAAACCATGCCAAATTGTAAAGACCATCAAGGCTAGGAAGAAACTGCGTCAACTAACGAGCAAAATAACCAGCTAACATCATAATGACAGGATCAAATTCACACATAACAATATTAACCTTAAATGTAAATGGGCTAAATGCTCCAATTAAAAGACACAGACTGGCAAATTGGATAAAGAGTCAAGATCCATCAGTGTGCTATATTCAGGAAACCCATCTCACGTGCAGAGACACACACAGGCTCAGAATAAAGGGATGGAGGAAGATCTACCAAGCAAATGGAAAACAAAAAAAGGCAGGGGTTGCAATCCTAATCTCTGATAAAACAGACTTTAAACCAACAAAGATCAAAATAGACAAAGAAGGCCATTACATAATGGTAAAGGGATCAATTCAACAAGAACAGCTAACTAACCTAAATATATATGCACCCAATACAGGAGCCCCCAGATTCATAAAGCAAGTCCTTAGAGACCTACAAAGAGACTTAGACTCCCACACAATAATAATGGGAGACTGTAACACCCCACTGTCAACATTAGACAGATCCACGAGACAGAAAGTTAACAAGGATATCCAGGAATTGAACTCAGCTCTGCACCAAGCAGACCTAATAGACATCTACAGAACTCTCCACCCCAAATCAACAGAATATACGTTCTTCTCAGCACCACATCACACTTATTCCAAAATTGACCACATAGTTGGAAGTAAAGCACTCCTCAGCAAATGTAAAAGAACAGAAGTTATAACAAACTGTCTCTCAGACCACAGTGCAATCAAACTAGAACTCAAGATTAAGAAACTCACTCAAAACCACTCAACTACATGGAAACTGAACAACCTGCTCCTGAATGACTACTGGCTACATAACAAAATGAAGGCAGAAATAAAGATCTTCTTTGAAACCAACGAGAACAAAGACACAACATACCAGAATCTCTGGGACACATTTAAAGCAGTGTGTTAGAGGGAAATTTATAGCACTAAATGCCCACAAGAGAAAGCAGGAAAGATCTAAAATTAACACCCTAACATCACAATTAAAAGAACTACAGAAGCAAGAGCAAACATATTCAAAAGCTAGCAGAAGCAAGAAATAACTAAGATCAGAGCAGAACTGAAGGAAACAGAGACACAAAAAGCCCTTCAAAAAATCAATGAATCCAGGAGCTGGTTTTTTGAAAAGATCAACAAAATTGATAGACTGCTAGCAAGACTAACAAGAAAAGAGAGAAGAATCAAACAGAGGCAATAAAAAATGATAAAGGGGAGATCACCACCGATCCCACAGAAATACAAACTACCATCAGAGAATACTATAAACACCGCTACACAAATAAACTAGAAAATCTAGAAATGGATAAAGTCCTTGACACATACAATCTCACAAGACTAAACCAGGAGGAAGTTGAATATCTGAACAGACCAACAGGCTCTGAAATTGAGGCAATAATTAATAGCTTACCAACCAAAAAAAGTCCAGGACCAGATGGATTCACAGCCGAATTCTACCAGAGGTACAAGGAGGAGCTGGTACCATTCCTTCTGAAACTATTCCAATCAATAGAAAAAGAGAGAATCCTCTCTAACTCATTTTATGAGGCCAGCATCATCCTGATACCAAAGCCTGGCAGAGACACAACAAAAAAAGAGACTTTTAGACCCATATCCCTGATGAACATCGATGCAAAAATCCTCAATAAAATACTGGCAAACCGAATCCAGCAGCACATCAAAAAGCTTATCCAACACGATCAAGTGGGCTTCATCCCTGGGATGCAAGGCTGGTTCAACATACGCAAATCAATAAACGTAATCCAGCATATAAACAGAACCAAAGACAAAAACCACATGATTATCTCAATAGATGCAGAAAAGGCCTTTGGCAAAATTCAACAGCCCTTCATGCTAAAAACTCTCAATAAATTAGTTATTGATGGGACGTATCTCAAAATAATAAGAGCTATGTATGACAAACCCACAGCCAATATCATACTGAATGGGCAAAAACTGGAAGCATTCCCTTTGAAAACTGGCACAAGACAGGGATGCCCTCTCTCACCACTCCTCTTCAACATAGTGTT
The DNA here is from genome assembly GCF_000001405.40 of Homo sapiens. NCBI lineage: Eukaryota > Metazoa > Chordata > Mammalia > Primates > Hominidae > Homo > Homo sapiens. Next base: position 177,757,963 of record NC_000005.10, read on the forward strand.
GGAAGTTCTGGCCAGGGCAATCAGGCAGAAGGAAATAAAGGGTATTCAATTAGGAAAAGAGGAAGTCAAATTGTCCCTGTTTGCAAATGACATGATTGTATATCTAGAAAACCCCATCGTCTCAGCCCAAAATCTCCTTAAGCTGATAAGCAACTTCAGCAAAGTCTCAGGATACGAAATCAATGTACAAAAATCACAAGCATTCTTATACACCAATAACAGACAAACAGAGAGCCAAATCATGAGTGAACTCCCATTCACAATTGCTTCAAAGGGAATAAAATACCTAGGAATCCAACTTCCAAGGGATGTGAAGGGTCTCTTCAAGGAGAACTACAAACCACTGCTCAATGAAATAAAAGAGGATACAAAGAAATGGAAGAACATTCCATGCTCATGGGTAGAAAGAATCAATATTGTGAAAATGGCCATACTGCCCAAGGTAATTTATAGATTCAATGCCATCCCCGTCAATCTACCAATGACTTTCTTCACTGAATTGGAAAAAACTACTTTAAAGTTCATATGGAACCAAAAAAGAGCCCGCATCGCCAAGTCAATCCTAAGCCAAAAGAACAAAGCTGGAGGCATCATGCTACCTGACTTCAAACTATACTACAAGGCTACAGTAACCAAAACAGCATGGTACTGGTTCCAAAACAGAGATATAGACCAATGGAACAGAACAGAGCCCTCAGAAATAATGCCACATATCTACAACTATCTGATCTTTGACAAACCTGACAAAAACAAGAAATGGGGAAAGGATTCCCTATATAATAAATGGTGCTGGGAAAACTGGCTAGCCATATGTAGAAAGCTGAAACTAGATCCCTTCCTTACACCTTTTACAAAAATTAATTCAAGATGGATTAAAGACTTAAATGTTAGACTTAAACCATAAAAACCCTAGAAGAAAACCTAGGCAATACCATTCAGAACATAGGCATGGGCAAGGACTTCATGTCTAAAACACCAAAAGCAATGACAATGAAAGCCAAAATTAACAAATGGGATCTAATTAAACTAAAGAGCTTCTGCACAGAAAAGAAACTACCATCAGAGTGAACAGGGAACCTACAGAATGGGAGAAAAATTTTTGCAATCTACTCACCTGATAAAGGGCTAATATCCAGAATCTACAAAGAACTCAAATTTACAAGAAAAAAACAACCCCATTAAGAAGTGGGCAAAGGATACGAAGAGACACTTCTCAAAAGAAGACATTTATGCAGCCAACAGACACATGAAAAAATGCTCATCATCACTGGCCATCAGAGAAATGCAAATCAAAACCACAATGACATACCATCTCACACCAGTTAGAATGGTGATCTTTAAAAAGTCAGGAAACGACAGGTGCTGGAGAGGATGTGGAGAAATAGGAACACTTACACTGTTGGTGGGACTGTAAACTAGTTCAACCATTGTGGAAGAGAGAGTGGCAATTCCTCAGGGATCTAGAACTAGAAATACCATTCGACCCAGCCATCCTATTACTGGGTATATACCCAGAGGATTATAAATCATGCTGCTATAAAGACATGCACACGTATGTTTATTGTGGCACTATTCACAATAGCAAAGACTTGGAACCAACCCAAATGTCCAACAATGATAGACTGGATTAAGAAAATGTGGCACATATACACCATGGAATACTATGCAGCCATAAAAAATGATGAGTTCATGTCCTTTGTAGGGACATGGATGAAGCTGGAAACCATCATTCTCAGCAAACTATAGCAAGGACAAAAAACCAAATACCACATGTTCTCACTCATAGGTGGTAATTGAACAATGAGAACACATGCACACAGGAAGGGGAGCATCACACACCGGGGCCTGTTGTGGGGGGGAGGGATAGCATTAGGAGATATACTTAATGTTAAATGACAAGTTAATGGGTGCAGCACACCAACATGGCACATGTATACATATGTAACAAACCTGCACGTTGTGCACATGTACCCTAAAACTTATAGTATAATAAACAAAAAGTAAAAAATAAAAAAAAACAAAAAAAACTGCATTAACATAGATGTTGCATTTTTTTTCAGGAATTATCTAATTGAAGGGGTGGTTAACAGAATTTGGGAAGGAACACATATTACCTGTGTAAATGGAGAATTTTAATTGTCAACAACTGAATAGAAAATTGGGCAGGTGTGCACATATATATATATACACATATATGAGAGAGAGTGAGAAAACTCAATTAAAAAATACCAGACCACAGATTTATATCTCTTAATGCCAAATTGGGAAAGACCTTTTTTTTTTTTTTTTTTTGAGATGGAGTCTTGCTCTGTCGCCCAGGCTGGAGTGCAGTGGCACGATCTCGGCTCACTGCAACCTCTGCCTCCCAGGTTCACGCCATTCTCCTGCCTCAGCCTCCCGAGTAGCTGGGACTACAGGCGCCCGCCACTGTGCCCAGCTAATTTTTTGTATTTTTAGTAGAGACAGGGTTTCACCGTGTTATCCAGGATGGTGTCGATCTCTTGACCAAGTGATCCACCCGCCTCGGCCTCCCAAAGTGTTGGTATTACAGGCGTGAGCCACTGTGCCCAGCCCCTGGAAAAGACATTTTTAAAAACAGAATATGTTAGGAAGAATAAAAAGGAATGAGCATAAGGCTTTCCTTCCTGGTGCCACCTAAGTGTTCACAGTAAATGAAAATAAATGAGTCTTTTACACTGGTAGCCAAAGTCCTTTGACAAAGCTTTGTCACGGTGTCAGTGCTATATGATTGTTCAATTAATAAATCTGGAAAGATGTGCAGAAACTTAACAGTTGTTACTTCCAGAGGCAGAAGCTGGCAGGCTACAGAAGAGGAAAAGACAAGTCCAGATTTCGGTGTGCATTCTTCTGTACCTCGTGAATGTCCTACAAGTGTGTTATTCCTGATGTCTTTACTGTGATTATTTTTAAATAAAAAAAACTAATACCCCCAAATGCTGGTAGAAAACAAACATTTCAATTTGCTAATGCTTCACAGGGACAAGAATTCAGGTAAGACACAGAAAAGATAGCTTATTGGTCCTTGTTGATGTCTGGGGACTGCAGAGAAGTCTTATGAAGCGGGACTGAATCCACAGCAGGAGGTTGGAATCATCTGGATATGCCATCATGCACAGGTCTGCAGAGGAACTTGGGCTTGGCTGGAGAACTTACATGACTACCACCCACACTTCCACACCCACTCAGCCCAGCTGCAGCAGCTTGGCCAAGATAATGGGCGCTCCTGCTCAAACGAGATTTCCCAGCTTTTGCGGAGTTCATCACCAGCCTCGCTAGCAGCGAATTCCCACTTCTATGCAAAGGAAACTGCCAACGAGGTTACAATCAATTTTTTTTTTTCCTAGAGTGAGGCCTGGCCGGAAAAGGGCAGGCCATCCTAGTGGCCTGTGAATGACCTTGTGAGGGTCACCAGGCCCCCTCGGCTGCAGGGCTCCAGAGCCCTCCCCTGGCCGACTACATCATGCACTGGCCCTAGCCTGGGGTGATGAGGCCAAGGCATCACCAGCTTTGACCCTGATGCCTCTGGCCTGGGCAACTGTCCCCTGTGCACTCAGCAATGCACATGCTAATTTAATCCAATCTGTCAGCCCAGGCACCTGGAGCGGAAATGGCCTGCCCACTTTTGCCCCACCCCAGCCCCTTTTCAACATTAACCTTGAGAGTTTGTGGCGCGTTCTTTGTGAGTGGGCCAGCTCCAGGTGCTTCACCCACATCGCGTACTTCATCAAAACCACTGTCAGAGGTAGGGCCTGTTAGGATCACTGTCTCACAGAGGAGGAAACTGAGGCAGAGACCGGGTAGGTACCCCAACTGAGGACACACAGAGAATAAGCTAGGATGGAACCTGCTGGCAGGCCCGGACTCCTCTGCTCAGTGACAGCCACGCAGAGAAGCCAGGGCACCTTAAGCTGCCATCCCTGTGCCACTTACCCACCTGCTTGTGGCCCAGGCCAAAAACATCCCCATAAATAACCATCCGCAGCTGCCCTCAGCCTCCTCTAGAAGGCAGGTGCCCCAGAAGCTTCCTCACAAGCTCTTTGACATTTCAGCGATATGTGGGTGGCTGAGGAGCCCTGAAACCAGGTGAAGGTCTGGGAAGGTGAGACGGGGGATTTAGCTCAGGCAGTGCCCTCTGGCAGGGGCAGGCACTGCAATGGGCACCTACTTGGGAGGAACACCTGACGTGGTTTTCCCGATGCTCGATGCTCGGGGCCTCACACTCATCCTTGCTGGACATAGAGAACTAACTGAGCTTCGAGGGGTCCTTCCCTCAGACCTGCCAGGTCCTGGTGCCACCAAACACTTAAGAATGTGGACGTGACAAAGTTAAAGAGGTGAGTGCCTGTGCACACCAGTGACATGGGACTTACAGCTGGGGACGGGTCAGGGCAGCCCTGGGGGAGCAGCTGCCATATGGGGCACCCCCTGCAGTGACAGTATCAGATGTGTCTCCACCTTCCCAGGGTAGACTGTGGGGTAAAGCTGGGCTCCTCTGAGACCCACTGCAGCTCTGGGGCAGAAAGGGGTCTGGATATATCGTCATCACAGGCTGAGAGGAGCAATGTGGGTGATGTGGCAGTCAAGGTCCCAGGCGGGGCTGACATGGACTCTGGAGCAGAGTCCAAGGGGAGCTTGGGAAGTGAGCACAAAAAGGCCTGAGGGTCTGTTGGGGTGGAGGGTAAAAAGAAATCTGGAAACCTCTAGAGCAGATTCCAGCCCAGCACAGACTGAAGGTCACACAAGCCCAGGGCACAGCCAGGCAGCCCAGTGCTGGGGCACAAGTCCCCTGCATCTGCACACTGCTATACAACCTCAGAAACCTCAATTAAAACAGACCTCAACTTCAAGAGCAAAAATTTCCATAGCTGCTCTGGGCCCAGTGAGATGGCATGTGAACATGTGGCCTGGGGCCAAGGAGGATAGCTGTGAACACCTGTGCCGGGACCAAGGAGGATGGCTGTGGACACCTGGGCTAGGCCCAAGAGGACAGCTTGGAATAACTGGGATGGGCCCAGAACGTAGGGCTACGAACACCTGGGCTGGCCCCAATGTGGACAGCTAGAAACCGCTGGTATGCGCTCAGGAGTTCTGTTCATTTTGGCTGAGCCAAAGGAAGACACGTGTGAACATCTGCACTGGGCCTAATTAAGACAACGGTGAACAGATGGGCTGTCCCCATTGAGGATGTCTGTGAAACCCTGGCCTGGGACCATGGAAACTGCTGGAAACAACTGGGAGAAGTCCTGTGACAAAAGCCATGAACACCAGGGCTAGGCTCAATGGGGACAGGTGTGGACACCTGGGCTGGGCCCAGTGTGGATGGCTGTCGGTACCTGGGATGGCCTCTATGAGGGTGGCTGGCTCCAATTAGCACACGTGTAAGCAAACTGGCTGGCCTTGATGAGGACGGCTAGGGACATCTGGGCTGGCTGTCACGTGGATGACAGAGATCTTCTTGGCTGGCTTAGATGAGGACCACTGTGAACACCGGCGCAGGCCTGGATGAAGACAGCTGGGAAGCCCTGGGCTGGAAACAATGAAGACAGCTATGAACAGGTGGCCTGGGGCCAGTGAAAATGGCTCTTAACCCTGGGCTTGATGTTACTGAGGGGTAGCGTGAACTCCTGGGCCTGCCTTGATATTGACAGCCATCAAAAACTGTTGCTATAATAAACTGAGTTCATACAAACAAGGAAGGCTGTGAACCCCTGGGCTGACCTTGATGGGGATGGCTGCAAACACCTGGCCTGGGCCCAGTGAGGACAGCTATGAAGTGCTAGGCAGGGCCCAGCGAGGTCAGCATGGAACTCCTGGGCTGGCCCAATAAGGATGTCTGTGAACACTGGTCTGGCCCACTGAGGACAAGGACTAACACCTGGGCTAGCTACCAATGAGGATGGCTGTGAACGCCTTGGCTGGGCCCTCTAAGGATAGCTTGGAGTGTTTGGACTCGGCCCAGAGTAAACAGCTGTGAAGCCCTGAGCTGGGCCCAGTGAGGGTGGCTATGGAAACCTGGGCTGGGCCAGTGAGGACAGCTGTGAACACCTGGCCTGGGTCCAACGAGAACAGCTGAGAACACTTGGGCTAAGCCAATAAGGACAGCTGTGGCACCGGGGACGATTGCCCTGAAGACAGCTGTTAACATCGTGGCTGGTCGCCTTGAGCACAGCTATGAATGTCTAGGCTGGGCCCAATGAAGACAGCCAAAAACACCTGCCCTGGTTTCAGTGAGAGCCACTGTGAGCACTTGGGCCTGTCCCCATGAGGATGCCTATGAACAGCTGGCTGGGCCCAAGACGAATGGCTCTTGACACCTAAACTCAGCCCTAGAAAGATGCTGTGAACAACTGGGCTAATCCCACTGATGACGACTATTAACGCCTGGGCTGGGCCCAAGTGAGGGCGACTTCGGCTGGACCCGGAAAAAATGGCTGTGAACACCTTGGCTTTGCCTGATGAAGATGGCTATGAACCCATGGCCTGGGCCCAATGAGGAAAGCTGTGAACACCTGCGCTAGCCCCAGTGAGGGAAGCTGGGAAAACCTGGGCTGGGCCCAGTAAAAGCAGCAGTGAACAACCAGGCTGGCCTCAGGAGGACAGCTTTGAACACTGAAACTGATCATGATGAGGATGGCTGTGAATACCTGGGCTGGCCCAGATGAGGAGCACCATTAACTCCTGGGCTCGCCCCCAATTAGAACAGCCATGAACACCTGGTCTTGCTCAAGTAATGATTGCGAGGAACAACTAGGCTCAGCCAGTGAGGACAGCTGTGAACCCCTGCACTGAGACAAATGAGGATGGCTGGGAACACCTCAGCTGGCCCCAGTGAGGATGGCTATGGATACCTGAGCTGTGCTCCATGGGGATGGCAATGTACACCAAGGTTCGGCCAAGTGACAGTTCTGAGAAACCTGGCTGACACCAGTGAAGACCGCTGTGAAAGCATGGGCTGCTCCCAGTTAAGACAGCTTTGCATACCCGGTCTGGGCCCAGTCAGATCGAGTGTCAACATCTGGCCTGGGGCCAAGGAGGATAGCTCTGAACACCTGTGCTGGACCAATGAGGATGGCTGTGGACACCTGGGCTGGGCCCAAGGAAACAGCTTGGAATAACGGATTGGCCCAGAATGCATGGCTACCAACACCTGGGCTGACCCCAATGTGGAAAGCTATAAATACCTGATGTGGGCTCAGGAGAACAGCCTTGTTCCTTTTGGCTGAGCCCTGTGAGGCAGCTATGGGCATCTGCACTTGGCCTAATAAAGACAACAGTGAACATCTGGGCCATCCCCATTGAGGACACCTGTCAACACCTGGCCTGGGACCATGTGAATTGCTCGGAACACCTGGATTAAGTCCAGTGAGGAAAACTATGAACACCCGGGCTATGCCCACTGAGGACAGCTGTGGACACATGGGCTGGCCCCAGTGAGGATGCCTGTAAATACCTGAGACGACCTCTATGAAGGTGGCTGGCCCCAATAAGCACGAGTGTGAACAAACTGGCTGGCCTCGATGAGGACGGCTAGGGACATCTGGGCTGGCTATCGTGTGGATGGTAAGAGAACACCTTGGCTGGCTTAGATGAGGACCACTGTGAACACCTTTGCAGGCCTGGATGAAGCCAGCTTTGAAGCCCCGAGCTGGGCACAATGAAGACAGGTATGAACAGGTCATCTGGGGCCAATGAAAACGGCTCTCAAACCCTGGGCTTGATGCCATTAAGGAGAATGGCGAACACCTGGGCTTGCTTTGCTTTTGATTGCTATGAAAAACTTAGCTCATGCAAATGAGGACCTACAGTTGTGAGCCACTGTGCCCCGACCTACTTTGTATTATTAAAACACATGCCAAACCGGGCGTCGTGGCTCTTGCCTGTGATCTCAGCACTTTGGGTGGTGGAGACGAGTGGATCGAGGTCTGAAGTTCAAGGCCAGCGTGGCCAAGATGCTGAAACCCCACCTCTACTTAAAATACAAATACTACCCGGGTGTAGTGGCAAGTGCATGTAATCCCAGCTACTCAGGAGGCTGAGGCAGGAGAATCGCTTGAACTCGGGCGGCAGAGGTTGCATTGAGCCAAGATTGTGCCACTGCACTCCAGCCTGGGCAGCAGAGAGAGACTGTCTCAAAAAAACAAAATAAAACAAAAAACAAACAGAAAAACATGCCAATAGGATAAAAAAAAAAAAGAAAGACAAGTACTGAGCTTCAAAATGAGTTGAAATCTCCTTTCTGCCACTTCCTATATATAAAAAAACTATCCTAATCTCTTTGAGTCTCACGTTCTCTATCTAGAGAAACACTTGACCAGAATGTTTAACACAGGTTAAAGTACTAGAGGTTATTTTAATTGGTCCTATGATTCCTTAAAATTCTGTAATTCTATGTGCTTTTGATTCTGTCTATAAGAAAACTGGGAATACATAGTCAGCAGATTTTGAAAAAATAATATAACGAAAGACCAAGAAAAGCAGAGAAGAAAGTTTTACAACATCAAGACAGGATTATAGAAATGTCATGGAAAAAGGAAAAAGTCTAAAAAAAAGTATTATGGAATTAAGCAGAAATACTAGCCTAAAGGGAAAACCAAACTGGGAAGTCAAATAATTTCTGAGACTTGTCTAATCTTGCTTTTGTAAAATTATAATCCTATGGCGAAACCTTTACTTTGCCCTAAAGCCTTTGATGGTAAAATAAGATATTGGCTACCACTGAAACTGTCAAATTTATGAGGAGAAACTCTTGGACTAACCACATTTCTAACAATAACCTTAAATGAGAGTTAACATACAACCAGATTTGACTGTCTAAATTAATCTGATTCAGACGTGTACCTTGATCCAAGTGCTGCACAGATTTCTATCAATCTATGCTGAGGAGCAAGATAAGGGATCTGGAAGCCAGACAGGCTGATGGTTTAACTGTGGGTCAGCTACTTTGTTAACTACGGGGTCATGAGCCAATTAATCAACCTCTAAACCACAGTTGCCTATGTAATAAACAGTAGGTTATAAGAACACAGATGTTGCAATGGCTTTATGGGATGATAAATGCATAGCACACAATAGGGGTTTAGCCCAGAATACAACACTCAACAGATATGAATCTCTTCCATCTATATTTCCTTAGTTAACATATTTTTTTAAATCTGTAAAATCCTACCTGACTGCATATTCATCAGAACTCCCAGAATCTATTAAAGAAAAAGGTATACTGCATTATAAATCAATAATAATTGTATAGAATATTAAAAGCATAAGAAGGCACAGTGATACATGCCTGTATTCCCAACTACTTGGGAGGCTGAGGCAGGAGGATCACTTGAGGAACCCAGAAGTTTGAGGCCAGCTTGGGAAACAGCAAGACTCTATCTTCACAAAAAAGTTATGCACACTTGTGTGCAGACTTCAGACCATGTTTTTTTCTTTTCTTTTCTTTTCCTTTTTTAAAGCATAGGACTGATGCTTTGTTATATAGCATTCCTTTGGGAGCATAACCGGGACCTTATTAGAATTAATATTAATTATACCTATTAGTAGATAATTAATGCAGTAAGAACTCTTACTTCCCTTACTTTGTATTTATTAAATGCAAAGAAGAATAAATTTATAAAATTTGATATCTACAAGTGAACCGCAGTATACAAGTTATCCTAGCCAAACCCTGTGAGATTGACTAAAAATGGTATTGTTAGCAGAACAGGTGTGATGAATGAACAGTGTCAAAGAGCATGATTTCAGGACCAAAACATGACGGGCAGTTCAAACAGAGTATACAGTAGTACCCCTTGTCCACTGTATGTGTGGAAAAGACACATTTGACCTGTTTTTCTCTGCTGTCACGTCACAGCAACAATCATCAACAAAGAAGTCTCCTGTGACAAAACGTGTGGAGGGTTTTTCTCCACCAACAAGTAAGCAATCATTTCTGCAGATGACACAAACTGGGCATCCTCTAAGTCAATTCTCACACTCTATCTGCAGATAGCATCAGATTGCACAGGTAAAGGGCTCAGTCCCATGAAACTGCCTCCCTACATCAGTTGTAGGTCTGAAACTCCAGAACTTCTGGCCAACTGTCTTCAAATTGGGGTTCCCAGGACTCCCTCTTTGGGTTAAATTGAATTGCTAGAGTGGCTCAAAGTACTCAGGGAAACACATTTACCAGTTTTCTATGAATGACATTACAAAAGATACAGATGAAGAGATGCATAGTGCAAAGTATGGGGGAGGTGGCACAGAGATTCCATGCCCTCCCAGGACACACCACCCTGTAGGAGCCTCCATGCATTCAGCCATCTGGAAGCTCTCCAAGCCCAGTCACTTTGGGTCTTGATGAAAGCTTCATTATATTGGCATCACTGATTAATCACTGGCCTTTGGTGACTGACAACCTTCAGCTCTTCTCTCCTCTCCAGAGTCTCCTGAATGAGACAGAAGATCTCAACACTCTAATCAATCATGTCTTCAGGATGGTGACCAGTTCCCATCCTGAAGCTACCTAGGGGCTTCCAGCCATGGATCATTAGCATACAAAAAAACATCACTTTGGAAATCCTAAGGATTTTAAGAATTGTACCCAACAAATGAGTTAAGATCCAGAGATTTTACATCTGCAGTTTTGATTTCTGTGGTTACAGTTACTAATAGTCAACTGTATTCCAAAAATATACACGGAAAACTCCAGAAATAAAGAGGTCATAAGTTTTAGTGTGCCATTCCGAGAAGCACAGTGAAACCGTCAGCACCCTCTATCCAGCCCAGGATGTGAATCGTCCTGCAGTGCACCCACACTGCACATGCTGTCCACCCGTTAGTCATCAACACGGTCTCCTCCTGTACCCTGCCGCCAACATCAAGGCCTGACTATCTAGGATCACGTCATTCACCTCAGTTCATCTCATTACATGGGCATTGTATCACTTCACATCATCACAAGAAAAAGGGTGAGAACCAGCCGGGTGCAGTGGCTCACACCTGTAATCCCAGCACTTTGGGAGGCCGAGGCGGGCAGATCACGAGGTCAGGAGATCAAGACCATCCTGGCTAACATGGTGAAACCCCACCTCTACTAAAGAAATCCAAAAAAAAAAAAAAATAGCCGGGCTTTGTGGCGGGTGCCTGTAGTCCCAGCTACTCCAGAGGCTGAGGCAGCAGAATGGTGTGAACCCAGGAGGCAGAGCTTGCAGCGAGCCGAGATCACAGCATTGCACTCCAGCCTGGGCGACAGCGAGACTCCGTCCCAAAAAAAAAAAAAAAAAAAAGGGTGAGAACCGTGCAATATATTTCAAGAGACCACATTCAAGTAACTTTTATTACAGTATAATTTTTTATTTTATTGTTCATTTCTTACTGTGCCTAATTTATACATTAAATATTATCATGGTTATGTATGTGTAGGAAAAACCAGTGGGTGATTCAGTACTATTTGTGGTCTCAGGCATTCACTGGGGGTGTCTTAGAACGTTATCTCCCATAGTTAATGGGGAACTACTGCACTTATTTTGTTGTAACACAACACAGCCTCTCTAGCTCTTCAGTTAAAACTTTTCAGTTTAGAATAAAACTCCCTATCACCAGCAGCCAGCAGAACATAGGAATCAGACCAGCAACAGGGATCCTTGCAAAAACTTTCCAGCTGCCAGTGGAGAAGAGCTCAAGAGAGCTCAATGTGTTACTCTGGATACTACTCTTCTGGGGAAGGTGCTGGGTGGTTTCCTTAGTTGTAGCTATATACTCTGCCCTACGTATAACAAGGCCCAAATTCACCTGCCATTTTACCTCCCACAGAAAGAACCACTGGAAAGATCACTCCTTTAAGAGCTTATCCACTCGGAACCACGCCTCACATTCAGAGAGAAGCTTAAGAAACACCGGCGTGGTGTGCCAGGCTGCCAGGCAGTACTATATGATATGAAAAATATACAGAAAGAAAACTATCAATGCCCTCTTGCTGCCAGAATGTTCCAATGCTTGCCCCTTTCCCTAGTAGGAGAAAAAAATTCTTTTTCACCTCACACAAAGCAAAACTGCCGTCCCTCACGACACAGAATCTAGTTGCAGGTGAGTCATGTCATCATAACACAGACTGTTTTCAAACTCATCCCTCAAAGGAAGAGGATCAGTGAGGAACATATGTATTTATCTATAACATTCACTGCCTGGTCTTATTTCCAACCCAAGGTAAGTATGAAAGACTTTGTGATTCCAGTTTTTTAAAGTACAACCTCTTGAGCTTCTCCCCTTCCATTGCTAGGGAGTCTATCTGGACCCACCTCACTGGAGCAAGATGCTCCAGTTTGTGCTGTGTGGTATTGCATGGTGTCATTTTCCTCAACCCTTTCCATTATGTGGCAAAGGCCTATACAAATCATGTTTCCTAAGTATGTAAAGCATATGTCATCAGACCTTACAAAGACAAAGAAGCTAAAGAAAAACAAAAGGACAAAGAACATCTTAAATGACTACATTCAATTACCATGGAACTTTACTTTTTTAACTATTCAAAAAGATATCCACTGTATTATTTCAACTATATGACTCTCCTGAAAAAAGTAAAACTATGAAGACAGATAAAAGATCAGTGGTTTCCAGCAGCTGCTAGGGAGAAAGGGAGAGATGAACAGGCAGAGAATAGAGCATTTTTAGGGCAGTGAAACTGTTCTATCTATAATAAATAGACACATGTCATTATACATTTGTCCAAATTCACAGAATGTACAGTATTAAGAATGGAGCCTGATGTCAACTATGAACTTGGAGTGATTATAATGTGTCAATGTAGGATCATCAGTTGTAACAAATGTACCACTCTGGTGGAAAATACTAATCATGGGGGAGGCCGTGCATGTGTGGGAGGCATGGAACATAGGAGAAATCTCTGTACCTTCCTCCGATTTTGCTGTGAACCTAAAACTGCTATAAGAAATAGAGTTATTGATTTAAAAAACATATTCATTGTCTGTGCATCCCAGGATTTCCAGAACAAAAATAAAAAATAAAAGATATTCACTGAATCTGTTATTATGATATATTTAAGCAGGACACAGTGGTAACCCTAAAAATTGGAGATCATTAAAGACCAAAGTAACAGCATGTGGGCATGATTTCTCAAATTGCAGTATAGAAAATACATAAAACAAATAAATTCAATTGCAAGCTTAGGCAAGAAAATATTGATAAAATGATTGAATATCTTATTTCATAACTCTAAACAGGGATTTAGCACGACATGAAAACTAGATTCACATAATCAAAATAAAAGACCATTTTTATTCTAATTTTAACTCAGAAATTATTATGCTTATTCAATTTAACCCTTTCACTGAAAGGTTAAAGAGATAAGAAGGACAGATTATAATTGCTTAATATTGCTATGGTAACTTCCATTCAAATACCTGTGAGTCACCAGAAGTCAAAAAAGTAGCCAGCATTGCAACACAGGATGGATCATGCAAGAGAAACTAGTACCAGGTTACCTTATCTTATAATATTATTTGCTGTTAAAATGAAATTTTAAAACAGCACCAAAAGTTAAGTTGGGGCTAAAACTGTTGTGCAGGAAAGATTTCATATAGCAGGAGAGAGACTGCCGTCCTCAGAAAGACCCGCATGCAAGCCTGGCCCTTGGCTGTTGTTTAGGAAATTGGAATTGGGAGGGTTCCCACCATGCCCTAAGACTGGTCACCGTGTCTAAAGTGTTTATAGAAACAATGCGGTTACTTCTGAGCAGCTGCTTTCCTTCTGAAGGTCGGAATGTGGGTACATGTGAGGGAGAGTAACCTCCATATAAAACACTTGGGTACTGAGTCTCTAATGAGATTCTGGTACTGGTAGACATCACTGCACATGGGTTGTCAAAATGTGAGGCTGGGGGAATTAAGCAGATCCTGGGAACTCCACAGGAGAGAACTTCTGGAAGCTTGTGCCTGGTTTCCTCCAGACTTGACCACCACATGCACCTTTTCCCTCTCATTTTGCTTGTACTCTTTCATTGTAATCAATTAAAGATCTGAATATGATTATTTGCTGAATCCTGTGAGTCCTTCTAGTGAATCACCAAACCTGGGGGTGGTCTTGGGAACCCTTGTCACAAATGCATTATATAAGGTTTTCATTAAGTTGACATGACCTATAATCAGATGGTTATTTCACAGAATAACTTTCCCTAATCTGTTTTTCTTTTCTTTCCTTGATATTTGACTTGGAGGTTCTTGTATTTCTATACTCAACTGATTAAAGCCATAAAAGAAATAAGTGGGGGGAGGAGCCAAGATGGCCGAATAGGAACAGCTCCGGTCTACAGCTCCCAGCGTGAGCGACGCAGAAGACGGGTGATTTCTGCATTTCCATCTGAGGTACCGGGTTCATCTCACTAGGGAGTGCCAGACAGTGGGCGCAGGCCAGTGTGTGTGCGCACCGTGCGCGAGCCGAAGCAGGGCGAGGCATTGCCTCACCTGGGAAGCGCAAGGGGTCAGGGAGTTCCCTTTCCGAGTCAAAGAAAGGGGTGACGGACGCACCTGGAAAATCGGGTCACTCCCACCCGAATATTGCGCTTTTCAGACCGGCTTAAGAAACGGCGCACCACGAGACTATATCCCACACCTGGCTCAGAGGGTCCTACGCCCACGGAGTCTCGCTGATTGCTAGCACAGCAGTCTGAGATCAAACTGCAAGGCGGCAACGAGGCTGGGGGAGGGGCGCCCGCCATTGCCCAGGCTTGCTTAGGTAAACAAAGCAGCCGGGAAGCTCGAACTGGGTGGAGCCCACCACAGCTCAAGGAGGCCTGCCTGCCTCTGTAGGCTCCACCTCTGGGGGCAGGGCACAGACAAACAAAAAGGCAGCAGTAACCTCTGCAGACTTAAGTGTCCCTGTCTGACAGCTTTGAAGAGAGCAGTGGTTCTCCCAGCACGCAGCTGGAGATCTGAGAACGGGCAGACTGCCTCCTCAAGTGGGTCCCTGACCCCTGACCCCCGAGCAGCCTAACTGGGAGGCACCCCCCAGCAGGGGCACACTGACACCTCACAAGGCAGGGTATTCCAACAGACGTGCAGCTGAGGGTCCTGTCTGTTAGAAGGAAAACTAACAACCAGAAAGGACATCTACACCGAAAACCCATCTGTACATCACCATCATCAAAGACCAAAAGTAGATAAAACCACAAAGATGGGGAAAAAACAGAACAGAAAAACTGGAAACTCTAAAACGCAGAGCGCCTCTCCTCCTCCAAAGGAACGCAGTTCCTCACCAGCAACAGAACAAAGCTGGATGGAGAATGATTTTGACGAGCTGAGAGAAGAAGGCTTCAGACGATCAAATTACTCTGAGCTACGGGAGGACATTCAAACCAAAGGCAAAGAAGTTGAAAACTTTGAAAAAAATTTAGAAGAATGTATAACTAGAATAACCAATACAGAGAAGTGCTTAAAGGAGCTGATGGAGCTGAAAACCAAGGCTCGAGAACTACGTGAAGAATGCAGAAGCCTCAGGAGCCGATGCGATCAACTGGAAGAAAGGGTATCAGCAATGGAAGATGAAATGAATGAAATGAAGCAAGAAGGGAAGTTTAGAGAAAAAAGAATAAAAAGAAATGAGCAAAGCCTCCAAGAAATATGGGACTATGTGAAAAGACCAAATCTACGTCTGATTGGTGTACCTGAAAGTGATGTGGAGAATGGAACCAAGTTGGAAAACACTCTGCAGGATATTATCCAGGAGAACTTCCCCAATCTAGCAAGGCAGGCCAACATTCAGATTCAGGAAATACAGAGAACGCCACAAAGATACTCCTCGAGAAGAGCAACTCCAAGACACATAATTGTCAGATTCACCAAAGTTGAAATGAAGGAAAAAATGTTAAGGGCAGCCAGAGAGAAAGGTCGGGTTACCCTCAAAGGGAAGCCCATCAGACTAACAGCAGATCTCTCGGCAGAAACCCTACAAGCCAGAAGAGAGTGGGGGCCAATATTCAACATTCTTAAAGAAAAGAATTTTCAACCCAGAATTTCATTTCCAGCCAAACTAAGCTTCATAAGTGAAGGAGAAAGAAAATACTTTACAGACAAGCAAATGCTGAGAGATTTTGTCACCACCAGGCCTACCCTAAAAGAGCTCCTGAAGGAAGCACTAAACATGGAAAGGAACAACCGGTACCAGCCGCTGCAAAATCATGCCAAAATGTAAAGACCATCGAGACTAGGAAGAAACTGCATCAACTAATGAGCAAAATCACCAGCTAACATCATAATGACAGGATCAAATTCACACATAACAATATTAACTTTAAATATAAATGGACTAAATTCTGCAATTAAAAGACACAGACTGGCAAGTTGGATAAAGAGTCAAGACCCATCAGTGTGCTGTATTCAGGAAACCCATCTCACGTGCAGAGACACACATAGGCTCAAAATAAAAGGATGGAGGAAGATCTACCAAGCAAATGGAAAACAAAAAAAGGCAGGGGTTGCAATCCTAGTCTCTGATAAAACAGACTTTAAACCAACAAAGATCAAAAGAGACAAAGAAGGCCATTACATAATGGTAAAGGGATCAATTCAACAAGAGGAGCTAACTATCCTAAATATTTATGCACCCAATACAGGAGCACCCAGATTCATAAAGCAAGTCCTGAGTGACCTACAAAGAGACTTAGACTCCCACACATTAATAATGGGAGACTTTAACACCCCACTGTCAATATTAGACAGATCAACGAGACAGAAAGTCAACAAGGATACCCAGGAATTGAACTCAGCTCTGCACCAAGCAGACCTAATAGACATCTACAGAACTCTCCACCCCAAATCAACAGAATATACATTTTTTTCAGCACCACACCACACCTATTCCAAAATTGACCACATAGTTGGAAGTAAAGCTCTCCTCAGCAAATGTAAAAGAACAGAAATTATAACAAACTATCTCTCAGACCACAGTGCAATCAAACTAGAACTCAGGATTAAGAATCTCACTCAAAGCCGCTCAACTACATGGAAACTGAACAACCTGCTCCTGAATGACTACTGGGTACATAACGAAATGAAGGCAGAAATAAAGATGTTCTTTGAAACCAACGAGAACAAAGACACCACATACCAGAATCTCTGGGACGCATTCAAAGCAGTGTGTAGAGGGAAATTTATAGCACTAAATGCCTACAAGAGAAAGCAGGAAAGATCCAAAATTGACACCCTAACATCACAATTAAAAGAACTAGAAAAGCAAGAGCAAACACATTCAAAAGCTAGCAGAAGGCAAGAAATAACTAAAATCAGAGCAGAACTGAAGGAAATAGAGACACAAAAAACCCTTCAAAAAATCAATGAATCCAGGAGCTGGTTTTTTGAAAGGATCAACAAAATTGATAGACCGCTAGCAAGACTAATAAAGAAAAAAAGAGAGAAGAATCAAATAGACACAATAAAAAATGATAAAGGGGATATCACCACCGATCCCACAGAAATACAAACTACCATCAGAGAATACTACAAACACCTCTACGCAAATAAACTAGAAAATCTAGAAGAAATGGATACATTCCTCGACACATACACTCTCCCAAGACTAAACCAGGAAGAAGTTGAATCTCTGAATAGACCAATAACAGGCTCTGAAATTGTGGCAATAATCAATAGTTTACCAACCAAAAAGAGTCCAGGACCAGATGGATTCACAGCCGAATTCTACCAGAGGTACAAGGAGGAACTGGTACCATTCCTTCTGAAACTATTCCAATCAATAGAAAAAGAGGGAATCCTCCCTAACTCATTTTATGAGGCCAGCATCATTCTGATACCAAAGCCGGGCAGAGACACAACCAAAAAAGAGAATTTTAGACCAATATCCTTGATGAACATTGATGCAAAAATCCTCAATAAAATACTGGCAAACCGAATCCAGCAGCACATCAAAAAGCTTATCCACCATGATCAAGTGGGCTTCATCCCTGGGATGCAAGGCTGGTTCAATATACGCAAATCAATAAATGTAATCCAGCATATAAACAGAGCCAAAGACAAAAACCACATGATTATCTCAATAGATGCAGAAAAAGCCTTTGACAAAATTCAACAACCCTTCATGCTAAAAACTCTCAATAAATTAGGTATTGATGGGACGTATTTCAAAATAATAAGAGCTATCTATGACAAACCCACAGCCAATATCATACTGAATGGGCAAAAACTGGAAGCATTCCCTTTGAAAACTGGCACAAGACAGGGATGCCCTCTCTCACCGCTCCTATTCAACATAGTGTTGGAAGTTCTGGCCAGGGCAATCAGGCAGGAGAAGGAAATAAAGGGTATTCAATTAGGAAAAGAGGAAGTCAAATTGTCCCTGTTTGCAGACGACATGATTGTTTATCTAGAAAACCCCATCGTCTCAGCCCAAAATCTCCTTAAGCTGATAAGCAACTTCAGCAAAGTCTCAGGATACAAAATCAATGTACAAAAACCACAAGCATTCTTATACACCAACAACAGACAAACAGAGAGCCAAATCATGGGTGAACTCCCATTCACAATTGCTTCAAAGAGAATAAAATACCTAGGAATCCAACTTACAAGGGATGTGAAGGACCTCTTCAAGAACTACAAACCACTGCTCAAGGAAATAAAAGAGGACACAAACAAATGGAAGAACATTCCATGCTCATGGGTAGGAAGAATCAATATCGTGAAAATGGCCATACTGCCCAAGGTAATTTACAGATTCAATGCCATCCCCATCAAGCTACCAATGACTTTCTTCACAGAATTGGAAAAAACTACTTTAAAGTTCATATGGAACCAAAAAAGAGCCCGCATTGCCAAGTCAATCCTAAGCCAAAAGAACAAAGCTGGAGGCATCACACTACCTGACTTCAAACTATACTACAAGGCTACAGTAACCAAAACAGCATGGTACTGGTACCAAAACAGAGATATAGATCAATGGAACAGAACAGAGCCCTCAGAAATAATGCCGCATATCTACAACTATCTGATCTTTGACAAACCTGAGAAAAACAAGCAATGGGGAAAGGATTCCCTATTTAATAAATGGTGCTGGGAAAACTGGCTAGCCATATGTAGAAAGCTGAAACTGGATCCCTTCCTTACACCTTATACAAAAATCAATTCAAGATGGATTAAAGATTTAAACGTTAAACCTAAAACCATAAAAACCCTAGAAGAAAACCTAGGCATTACCATTCAGGACATAGGCGTGGGCAAGGACTTCATGTCCAAAACACCAAAAGCAATGGCAACAAAAGACAAAATTGACAAATGGGATCTAATTAAACTAAAGAGCTTCTGCACAGCAAAAGAAACTACCATCAGAGTGAACAGGCAACCTACAACATGGGAGAAAATTTTCGCAACCTACTCATCTGACAAAGGGCTAATATCCAGAATCTACAATGAACTCAAACAAATTTACAAGAAAAAAACAAACAACCCCATCAAAAAGTGGGCGAAGGACATGAACAGACACTTCTCAAAAGAAGACATTTATGCAGCCAAAAAACACATGAAGAAATGCTCATCATCACTGGCCATCAGAGAAATGCAAATCAAAACCACTATGAGATATCATCTCACACCAGTTAGAATGGCAATCATTAAAAAGTCAGGAAACAACAGGTGCTGGAGAGGATGCGGAGAAATAGGAACACTTTTACACTGTTGGTGGGACTGTAAACTAGTTCAACCATTGTGGAAGTCAGTGTGGCGATTCCTCAGGGATCTAGAACTAGAAATACCATTTGACCCAGCCATCCCATTACTGGGTATATACCCAAATGAGTATAAATCATGCTGCTATAAAGACACATGCACACGTATGTTTATTGCGGCACTATTCACAATAGCAAAGACTTGGAACCAACCCAAATGTCCAACAATGATAGACTGGATTAAGAAAATGTGGCACATATACACCATGGAATACTATGCAGCCATAAAAAATGATGAGTTCATATCCTTTGTAGGGACATGGATGAAATTGGAAACCATCATTCTCAGTAAACTATCACAAGAACAAAAAACCAAACACCGCATATTCTCACTCATAGGTGGGAATTGAACAATGAGATCACATGGACACAGGAAGGGGAATATCACACTCTGGGGACTGTGGTGGGGTCGGGGGAGGGGGGAGGGATAGAATTGGGAGATATACCTAATGCTAGATGACACATTAGTGGGTGCAGCGCACCAGCATGGCACATGTATACATATGTAACTAACCTGCACAATGTGCACATGTACCCTAAAACTTAGAGTATAATAAAAAAAAAAAAAAAAAAAAAAAAGAAATAAGTGAAGCAATTGTTAGAAAATAATGGGAAATAAGCAGCAATCCTAGTTTTACCAGAATAAAAAATAGGGAATCTTGATGATTGACAATATGTTCTACAATATGAATGTTTCTAGAAAAAAAAAAAAATGAAAAGGTGGTCAATTTTCTGCAACTCAACTGGGCTTAATTCCTTTTTATAATAATTGTGCAGGCCAGGTGTGGTGGCTCACATCCATAAAATCCTAGCATTTTGGGAGGCCAAAGCAGGAGGATCACTTGAGCCCAGAAGTTCCAGACTTCCAGACCAGCCTGGGCAATATAGTGAGGAAAAAAAAAACCTTAAAAGGAAAATTAGCCAAGTGTGGTGGGGCATGCCTGTAGTCCCAGCTACTTGGGAGGCTGAGGTGAAAGAATCATTTAAGGCCAGAAAGCAGAAGTTGCAGGGAGCCAAGATAGATCCCACCACTGCACTCCAGTACTGGCAACAGAGGGGGACCTGTCTCAAAAAATAATAATAATAAAAATGAATAAATAAATAAACAAATGATTGTGTATCCAGCTAGATGTAACTACACATAGCTACAATCCCAGCTACTCAGGAGGATGAGGTGGGACGACTGCTTGAGCCCAGAAGTTCCAGGCTACAGTGAGCTATGACTGTACCACTGAATAGACACCATATTCTAGCCTGGGCAACATAGAGAGAGCCCATCTCTTATAATAATGATAATAAATTAATTGTGCATCATTCAAGTAACTTGCATAACTGGAAAAAAACATAACCATTGAATATAGTATAATAGTATAACTACTGATCATAGAGTTCCTTTTACTTGCTTCTAATCTTTTCATTTCTTATAAAACTAAAATATGGTTGACCCATTCAAGGCAGTTCATCACAGAACAAGTCAAAAAGCCAAAAGAATTGCATGCAAGCTGTAGGCTGTGTTATCCACTACTCCCTGCAAGCAGTGGATTTGGTCATTAACAATCAGCAGGACTTTTAACTTTGTGTGCGTGTGTGTGTGTGTGTGCGCACCCGAACGCACATGTGTGTATGTGCACGTGTGTGTGTAAACTATGACAGATAAAACCATTTTGCTTATGTAAGAATATGTAACATAACTTGTGCTTCTCACAAAGGAATTGCTTTTCTGTCTTCTGCACTCAGTAGGTATCTTCAAAAAATAATCTCCTATTCGTATGGGTGCACACTGGTTCACTTTTACAGTTCTTACTGCCATTTATTTATTCTACGAGAAAGGGATTGTTGAGTTCCCGGTTCTAAAGATACTTCCTTAGTGACACAAATTAACAGGTAATACAGTTCACCCTTGAACAGCAAGGGTTTGAGCTGCAGGAGTTCATTTATATGCAGATTTTCTTCTGCCTCTGCAACCCAGAGACAGCAAGACCAACCTCTCTTCCTTCTCAGCCTGAACAACCTGAAGATGATAAAGATGAAGACCTTTGTGAGGATCCATTTACGCTTTATGAAAAGTCAATATATTTTTCCTGCAGATTTTCTTTCTAACAGCTTCACTTGTCTAGCTTACTTTATTGTAAGAACACAGTATATAATAATGCAGCACAAATAAAATAGGTGTTAATCGACCGTTTATGTTATCAGGAAGGCTTCCAGTCAATAGTGGGCTATTAGTAGCTAAATTGGGAAAATCAAAAGTTATACTTAGATTTTCAGCTGCACTGGAATCAGAGCCCCTAACCCCCACATTATTCATGGGTCAAGTGTAATTATGTATTTACTAAATATAAACAATTTATTATAAAAATAAACAACTTATTACAAAAATGAACTAGAAGATCCATATGTATAACAAGTCCAATTTGTTACAATGTGACTATAGAGAAAACATAAATATTATATAGGATTTTCGGGATCATAATTAAGTAAATGATTTTTTTTCAGATAATACTGTTTGAGATTATAAATCAGCTACAACTACCTTCTTAAATAACTCTTAATTCCAAACTAAAGAAGTTAAATATAAGAAACTAATTTACATGTATGTATATATGTATATATACATGCAATTTACACATCTTTTTAAACTTTTCTTTTCCTTCAAAACTACCTTAATCTTACATCTTAATTTTTTTAAACCAAGAGTAGGACCACCATGAGAAATGAGAAATTCACTATCAGAAGTCTTACCTGGATTGTAAGTTTTAAGAATCTTCTTTTTAAGTTCCAAAATTTGGTGTCGAATTCTGTATATAAAAAAGTAATAAATAAAATTGCTATTTTAATACTGAAATAAAAGTTACCATATTAAATTCTTAATGTTTGGTAAATGTGTAATCAAACTGATTCTTTTTTCCTCGCTGGCTAAAACAAAATACATCTTCGCACATCAACGTACTTCTATATCTATTGTCACCTTTGATGGTCACATATTATTGCATCCTATGGATGCAACTGAAATTTACTTATAAGATCCATTCTATGGGTTCTTTTTAAAATAAGTGCTGTGAAAAACAAAGTGCATGTATCTCTATTTCCCAAGGGTATTTTAGTATAATGGAATTGAAGGGTAACGGGCATACGCATTTTTAAAATATAGTACTTACCACCAAATTATCTATTTAAAAAGTAATCAGCAACTTAAACTTCAGGCAGCAGTATAAAAAACATCCTCACACATTGTGGATAGAAAACAGTTTCATTCCTCTTTTAATTTAAATTCTTATACCAGAAAAGCAAAGGCTTTTTTTCCTATTTACATAAGAAACTTGTAGATCTGCAAAAAAGTACTTTGCCCCCTTTTACAGTTTTTGATTATTTGATTTGAAAGAATTCCCTGTAAAATGAAGATGCACTTTTCAGGCCGGGCGCGGTGGCTCACACCTGTAATCCCAGCACTTCTGGATGGCGGCTCACTGCAAGCTCCCCCTCCCGGGTTCACAGCATTCTCCTGCCTCAGCCTCCGGAGTAGCTGGGACTATGGGCGCCCACCACCACGCCCGGCTATTTTTTTTTTTTTTTTTTTTTTTTGTATTTTTAGTACAGACAGGGTTTCACCGTGTTTGCCAGGATGGTCTCAATCTCAATCTCCTGACCTCGTGATCCGCCCACCTCGGCCTCCCAAAGTGCTGGGATTACAGGCCTGAGCCACCGCGCCCAGCCCTAAAATTTTTACAAATGTCATTACAATAGTAAAAGACAGTAGGTGTCATGCAAAAATGTTAAAACCTTGATTTTTTCATTCGGCTTATGTAAAATTGATAATCACAGAAAGAGCTCACATTTTGAGAAAAATGTGTCTTCCCATTCAGGAACACAGAACCCACCTCCCACTTCCAAGTTTCCTTCTAAGAACCTTCAGTAAAGAACCGATCTACACAGGTGGATACGGATGTAAAACGGACAGTTTTAGGTGAGAGCTTTTCGCTACTGAAAATGACTCACGGTTTTTTGTTTGTTTGTTTGTTTTTCTTTTTTGGAGACGGAGTCTCGCTCTGTCGCCCAGGCTGGAGTGCAGTGGCGCCATCTCGGCTCACTGCAAGCTGCGCCTCCCGGGTTCACGCCATTCTCCTGCCTCAGCCTCCCGAGTAGCTGGGACTACAGGCGCCCGCCACCACGCCCGGCTAATTTTTTTTTTTTTTTTTGTATTTTTAGTAGAGACGGGGTTTCACCGTGTTAGCCAGGATGGTCTCGATCTCTTGACCTGGTGATCCGCCCGCCTCGGCCTCCCAAAGTGCTGGGATTACAGGCCTGAGCCACCGCGCCCGGCCGACTCACGGTATTTTTTGATAGAGGAATGAGTTCTCTCATTAGGCACCTCCTATAATGTATATAACACCATGTTTTAAACGTGTAGGTTAAAAATAACACTGTGTATGCTTAGCTTGGTGAGTTAAATCACTCACATTCTCCACCAAGCGCTCCAGCTGGGGAATTATGGGGGATGCAGAGCAGCTGAGGCTCCGTTTGGCACCACCCCTCTGAGGGTGCCCTCTGAGGCCCCATCCCAGGGGCTGCGGGGAAGCCGGGCCTGGGGACCCCCTCCCACCCTGGGCTGAGCCCCCACCCCACTGCCTGTGCTGCCTGTCCCCGGCTTCCAGGTCTCTGCTCCTGCGCGCCAGGCAGCGCTCCACTTCCGCGGCTTCGCCCTTGACAGCGCCCTGTGGATCTTCCGATTCGGTACCCCGAACCCCTGTAGACGTGGCCTAGGGAGCCCCGGACCGCCGGCCCCTGCGGCTCCCAAAGCCGAAGAACTTCTTCAAGGTGGTGAGTTCTTCTCAGACCCCCAACCACTGGCTCCTGAGCCGCGGCAGCTCCGTGTCACCTTTTCACTCCCCCTCGCCCCACACCCAGCCCCAAATCCCCAATCCAACTCCAAATCCCCTATCCAACCCCCAATCCGCGATCCAAACCCCAATCCGTGATCCAACCCCCAATCCGTGATCCAACTCAAAATCCCCGATCCAAATCCCAATCCGCGATACCAAGTCTGCGATCTAGCCCAGAATCCGCGATCCCGCCTGGTCCACCCTTCAGCAGCGACACTGGCGGCCTCCGACCTCTCAGACCTAGTGAGCCTCGCAAAGCCGCCCGGCTCCCGGAAGCCGCAGGTGCAGGCGCCGCTGGGCTCGCGGGTTCTCCTGGGCTGGCCAGGGCTGCCCCAGGACCACGGACGGAAAATCGCAGGCGCGCGGCCCACCCCGCCTTAAGGGGAGGGCCCGCCTGGCCGTGTAGCCCGCCCCGCTCCTCCTTCCGAAGAGAGATCTGGTGCTGGCATGGGCACCCCGCGGCCACCGGAGTGGCTTCCCGGATGAGCCTGGCTTCGGCGCTGACGCTCTGGCCCTGGGGGCTGCCTGGCTGGTGTCAGGTAGCGGAAGACGCCTGGAGAGTCACTCGCTCCTTCCCCCACCCGCCCCCACCGCTGCTCGTGCCAGGACGCGCAGTTTGCAGTTGCAGCTCTGGCACTGGCGCGGGATGGCGGAGCTTCCCTTGGATGGCGTCAGGGTCACTGAGTGCACAGCCTACCTGGTCTGAGGGTCTGCTCCTCCTGGACACCTCTCCGGATCCTGATCCCTGGCGCTGGGCAATCCACAGGATGAGACTCATCGGCTGCTGGCGAAGCCGACCGCCTGACTTTGCTGCCTGGGCGGCTGGCCCCGGGATCCGCGCTGCTGGGGACGCGGGCCTGGTCTGCGGTGTCCAGCCACTTGCTGCGGGCGCGCCACGTCTAGGCTGGTGGCTGCAGCCGCAGCTCCGCGCCTGCGGGGGCTAGTGGGCCTGGTACCTGATGTCCTCAGGGTCAAGTGCATCGCTCCCCCACCTGAGGGTCTGCTCTGCCTTGACCTCCTCCAAGAGCGCAGGGGCCACCGGGGAGGCAATTTAGGAATGCCTAAATGGAAGGAACTATCCTTTCTCTGTCTTTAAGAAATAAGTGGCTTTTGTTGTTGTTTTTGTGATACCCAGCTACAGCAGAAAGCAAAGGGGATGCAGAGGTGAAGGTCCACAGCCAGTTCCTCTACTGATTCCCTCCAGGCATAAATGTTCAATCTAACGGCTTTGGTTGGCACTTTCACCTCAGCACTTACCTATGCCTACAGGTTTGTTCAATGGCAACTCTTGGATTTTGAATTAATACCCAATTATTTCATATTTTAATACCCAAACTATTTTAATAGTTTACCATATCTGCAATCCTGAATTAATTTTTTCTTTGTTTATAAAACAATCACTATAGTAAGATAAAAATCACAAAACACTTCCACATTTCATTGGGCTAAAAAAGCATTAAAACATTATACGTAAAAGATAAAAAATATATTGTTTCATCATAAAAATTATGGCTTTGCAAATTTTTTTTACCTTTAGCTACATTCTTACGATTCTTTAACTTTTCACTGTTATTTTATACATTTTTAAAACAATGCATACCAGTGTTTAAAAAACAAATGCAGCATTTCATCTAGGACTGAACATATAACGCTGGTCAGCTCTTTCAGCATGGTGCAGGTGTGGGCCTCAGGCTGCTTTCTGTTTACATGTATCAAATGACATGACCATCTTAACTGCACAGATACCATCTTCTCGGCTTCTTTCTTCTCCCCCAAAACTATTTAATGTTGCTTTAATGGCAACATCAATTTAACTAGTTTTGTAATTTCTGTATTTAATTGTCACATAACATTATATCCGTTCTTTTTTTTTTTAAAAAAAAAGGAAAGCATACAATCTTAGTTGCTAGGCCAGTTCTTCTGAATCAATTTGAAATCACCTTTTTTCTCTTTCATAATAACTACTTATTTTAATCAACAAGTCAACTATTATTAGATATTAACTTATTTTTTCTAGTTAAAATTTTGCTATCTTTCAAATAATTCCAACTCTTACACACACATTTAATGTACATAACTGTAACATATACATACATAAGCACAGGTTAAGCCAGATCTAACATGAATTTAGATATGCCAAGAAAGCCACATGACCATTATTTACATAAATATGACCAGTGTTCACATTTATCAAGGCCAATGAATATTAAGGTGATTGCTTCAATAAGAAATTAGGTGAAGAATTATTTGTTGAATATTGTCAAACACTTTTTTTAACCTGTTAAAGTTATTTAAGCCTGACCCAAATAATTTTTAAACTTTTTATTCTATCATGCCTATAGACAGCTTCATATATTAACCATTTCTGCTTTCGTGGTCCTTTGAGAATGGTATCTTAGTATGTAAGTGCAATAAATAAACAACTTTTAAAGGAATAAAGAAAATTGATATAAATTAGTCTGGAAAATCTAGTCTGTAGCTGGGCAGCCAGGTGCCCCCAGCTAAACCTCAAGGGATGGTTCTGTTAAAGTGAAGAAAAGAAGAATAGTGTGTAACAGAAGCCTGCTCTGTGGCTCCAGGTTACAGCTGTGGCCACCCAATCTGCCTTGTGCCTCCTTCTTCTCACAAGTACACACTCATCCCAGCCCCAAGCAAGAAAGACCAAAGTCCCTTGCCAGGCGCGGTGGCTCACGCCTGTAATCCCAGCACTTTGGGAGGCCGAGGCGGGTGGATCACGAGGTCAGGAGATCGAAACCATCCTGGCTAACACGGTGAAACCCCGTCTCAACTAAAAATACAAAAAATTAGCCAGGCGTGGTGGTGGGCGCCTGTAGTCCCAGCAGCTACTCTGGAGGCTGAGGCAGGAGAATGGCGTGAACCCGGGAGGCGCAGTTTGCAGTGAGCCGAGATCACGCCACTGCACTCCAGCCTGGGGAACAGAGCAAGACTCTCTCTCAAAAAAAAAAAAAAAAAAAGAAAGACCAAAGGCCCCTTCCGTTACTGTATCCAACCCACAGTGCAGGTCCTGTGGGCCATGTGCTATGCATCCCACCTGCATTCCACCTGGTTCACAAGTGGCTCCTTGATGTCCAGTGACCTATGAAAAATCATTTGTTAGGCCGGACGTGGTGGTTCACGCCTGTAATCTAGCACTTTGGGAGGACAATGTGGGCGGATCACCTGAAGTCAGGAGTTTGAGACCAGCCTGGCCAACATGGTGAAACCCTGTCTCTACTAAAAATACAAAAATTAGCTGAGTATGGTGGTGGGTGCCGTAATCCCAGCTACTTGGGAGACTGAGGGAGAAGAATCGCTTTAAGCTGGGAGGTGGAGGTTGCAGTGAACCGCTATTAAACTCCACTATTCTTTATTGGGCACAACCCAGGAGGTCAACAAATGTATTTTCCTGTTTTTATTTTATTTATTTATTTTGAGACAGAGTCTCACTCTTTTGCGCATCTGCACTCTAGCCCAGGTGACAAGAGTGACACTCCATCTCAAAAAAAAAGGTAATAATAATAATTATTATTATTCGTGGACCTGCTGGGTTACACCCAATAAAGAATAGTGGTGTAGAATCAAAATAGTCCCAATAAAATTTATATATATATATTTTTTATTATACTTTAAGTTCTAGGGTACATGTGCACAACGTGCAGGTTTGTTACATATGTATACATGTGCCATGTTGGTGTGCTGCACCCATTAACTCATCATTTACATTAGGTATATCTCCTAATGCTATCCCTCCCCCCACCCCACAACAGGCCCTGGTCTGCGATGCTCCCCTTCCTGTGTGCATGTGTTCTCATTGTTCAATTCCCACCTATGAGTGAGAACATGCAGTGTTTGGTTTTTTGTCCTTCCGAGAGTTTGTTGAGAATGATGGTTTCCAGCTTCATCCATGTCCCTACAAAGGACATGAACTCATCATTTTTTATGGCTGCATAGTATTCCATGGTGTATATGTGCCACATTTTCTTAATCCAGTCTATCATTGTTGGACATTTGGGTTGGTTCCAAGTCTTTGCTATTGTGAATAGTGCCACAATAAACATACGTGTGCATGTCTTTATAGCAACATGACTTATAATCCTCTGGGTATATACTCAGTAATGGAATGGCTGGGTCAAATGGTATTTCTAGTTCTAGATCCCTGAGGAATCGCCACTCTCTCTTCCACAATGGTTGAACTAGTTTACAGTCCCACCAACAGTGTAAGTGTTCCTATTTCTCCACATCCTCTCCAGCACCTGTCGTTTCCTGACTTTTTAATGATCACCATTCTAACTGGTGTAAGATGGTATCTCATCGTGGTTTTGATTTGCATTTCTCTGATGGCCAGTGATGATGACCATTTTTTCATGTGTCTGTTGGCTGCATAAATGTCTTCTTTTGAGAAGTGTCTGTTCATATCCTTCGCCTACTTTTGATGAGGTTGTTTGATTTTTTTCTTGTAAATTTGTTTGAGTTCTTTGTAGATTCTGGGTATCAGCCCTTTAGTCAGGTGAGTAGATTGCAAAAATTTTCTCCCATTCTGTAGGTTGCCTCTTCACTCTGACGGTAGTTTTTTTTGCTGTGCAGAAGGAGCTCTTTAGTTCAATTAGATCCCATTTGTCAATTTTGGCTTTTGTTGCCATTGCTTTTGGTGTTTTAGACATGAAGCCCTTGCCCATGCCTATGTCCTGAATGGTATTGCCTAGGTTTTCTTCTAGGGTTTTTATGGTTTTAGGTCTAACATTTAAGTCTTTAATGCATCTTGAATTAATTTTTGTAAAAGGTGTAAGGAAGGGATCCAGTTTCAGCTTTCTACATATGGCTAGCCAGTTTTCCCAGCACCATATATTATATAGAGAATCCTTTCCCCATTTCTTGTTTTTGTCAGGTTTGTCAAAGATCAGATAGTTGTAGACATGTGGCATTATTTCTGAGGGCTCTGTTCTGTTCCATTGGTCTATATCTCTGTTTTGGAACCAGTACCATGCTGTTTTGGTTACTGTAGCCTTGTAGTATAGTTTGAAGTCAGGAAGCGTGATGCCTCCAGCTTTGTTCTTTTGGCTTAGGATTGACTTGGCAATGCGGGCTCTTTTTTGGTTCCATATGAACTTTAAAGTAGTTTTTTCCAATTCAGTGAAGAAAGTCATTGGTAGCTTGATGGGGATGGCATTGAATCTATAAATTACCTTGGGCAGTATGGCCATTTTCACAATATTCTTTCTACCCATGAGCATGGAATGTTCTTCCATTTGTTTATATCCTCTTTTATTTCATTGAGCAGTGGTTTGTAGTTCTCCTTGAGGAGATCCTTCACATCCCTTGGAAGTTGGATTCCTAGGTATTTTATTCCCTTTGAAGCAACTGTGAATGGGAGTTCACTCATGATTTGGCTCTCTGTTTGTCTGTTATTGGTGTATAAGAATGCTTGTGATTTTTGTACATTGATTTTGAATCCTGAGACTTTGCTGGAGTTACTTATCAGCTTAAGGAGATTTTGGGCTGAGACGATGGGGTTTTCTAGATATACAATCATGTCATTTGCAAACAGGGACAATTTGACTTCCTCTTTTCCTAATTGAATACGCTTTATTTCCTTCTGCCTGATTGCCCTGGCCAGAACTTCCAACACTATGTTGAAGAGGAGTGGTGAGAGAGGGCATCCCTGTCTTGTGCCAGTTTTCAAAGGGAATGCTTCCAGTTTTTGCCCATTCAGTATGATATTGGCTGTGGGTTTGTCATACATAGCTCTTATTATTTTGAGATACATCCCATCAATAACTAATTTATTGAGAGTTTTTAGCATGAAGGGCTGTTGAATTTTGCCAAAGGCCTTTTCTGCATCTATTGAGATAATCATGGGGTTTTTGTCTTTGGTTCTGTTTATATGCTGGATTACGTTTATTGATTTGCGTATGTTGAAACAGCCTTGCATCCCAGGGATGAAGCCCACTTGATCGTGTTGGATAAGCTTTTTGATGTGCTGCTGGATTCGGTTTGCCAGTATTTTATTGAGGATTTTTGCATCGATGTTCATCAGGGATATGGGTCTAAAAGTCTCTTTTTTTGTTGTGTCTCTGCCAGGCTTTGGTATCAGGATGATGCTGGCCTCATAAAATGAATTAGGGAGGATTCTCTCTTTTTCTATTGATTGGAATAGTTTCAGAAGGAATGGTACCAGCTCCTCCTTGTACCTCTGGTAGAATTCGGCTGTGAATCCATCTGGTCCTGGACTTTTTTTGGTTGGTAAGCTATTAATTATTGCCTCAATTTCAGAGCCTGTTGGTCTGTTCAGATATTCAACTTCCTCCTGGTTTAGTCTTGTGAGATTGTATGTGTCAAGGACTTTATCCATTTCTAGATTTTCTAGTTTATTTGTGTAGCGGTGTTTATAGTATTCTCTGATGGTAGTTTGTATTTCTGTGGGATCGGTGGTGATCTCCCCTTTATCATTTTTTATTGCCTCTGTTTGATTCTTCTCTCTTTTCTTGTTAGTCTTGCTAGCAGTCTATCAATTTTGTTGATCTTTTCAAAAAACCAGCTCCTGGATTCATTGATTTTTTGAAGGGCTTTTTGTGTCTCTGTTTCCTTCAGTTCTGCTCTGATCTTAGTTATTTCTCGCCTTCTGCTAGCTTTTGAATGTGTTTCCTCTTGCTTCTGTAGTTCTTTTAATTGTGATGTTAGGGTGTTAATTTTAGATCTTTCCTGCTTTCTCTTGTGGGCATTTAGTGCTATAAATTTCCCTCTAACACACTGCTTTAAATGTGTCCCAGAGATTCTGGTATGTTGTGTCTTTGTTCTCGTTGGTTTCAAAGAAGATCTTTATTTCTGCCTTCATTTTGTTATGTAGCCAGTAGTCATTCAGGAGCAGGTTGTTCAGTTTCCATGTAGTTGAGTGGTTTTGAGTGAGTTTCTTAATCCTGAGTTCTAGTTTGATTGCACTGTGGTCTGAGAGACAGTTTGTTATAACTTCTGTTCTTTTACATTTGCTGAGGAGTGCTTTACTTCCAACTATGTGGTCAATTTTGGAATAAGTGCGATGTGGTGCTGAGAAGAACGTATATTGTGTTGATTTGGGGTGGAGAGTTCTGTAGATGTCTATTAGGTCTGCTTGGTGCAGAGCTGAGTTCAATTCCTGGATATCCTTGTTAACTTTCTGTCTCGTGCATCTGTCTAATGTTGACAGTGGGGTGTTACAGTCTCCCATTATTATTGTGTGGGAGTCTAAGTCTCTTTGTAGGTCTCTAAGGACTTGCTTTATGAATCTGGGGGCTCCTGTATTGGGTGCATATATATTTAGGATAGTTAGCTGTTCTTGTTGAATTGATCCCTTTACTATTATGTAATGGCCTTCTTTGTCTATTTTGATCTTTGTTGGTTTAAAGTCTGTTTTATCAGAGATTAGGATTGCAACCCCTGCCTTTTTTTGTTTTCCATTTGCTTGGTAGATCTTCCTCCATCCCTTTATTCTGAGCCTGTGTGTGTCTCTGCACGTGAGATGGGTTTCCTGAATATAGCACACTGATGGGTCTTGACTCTTTATCCAATTTGCCAGTCTGTGTCTTTTAATTGGAGCATTTAGCCCATTTACATTTAAGGTTAATATTGTTATGTGTGAATTTGATCCTGTCATTATGATGTTAGCTGGTTATTTTGCTCGCTAGTTGACGCAGTTTCTTCCTAGCCTTGATGGTCTTTACAATTTGGCATGGTTTTGCAGTGGCTGGTACCGGTTGTTCCTTTCCATGTTTAGTGCTTCCTTTAGGAGCTCTTGTAGGGCAGGCCTGGTGGTGACAAAATCTCTCAGCATTTGCTTGTCTGTAAAGGATTTTATTTCTCCTTCACTTATGAAGCTTAGTTTGGCTGGATATGAAATTCTGGGTTGAAAATTCTTTTCTTTAAGAATGCTGAATATTGGCCCCCACTCTCTTCTGGCTTGTAGAGTTTCTGCCGAGAGACCAGCTGTTAGTCTGATGGGCTTCCCTTTGTGAGTAACCTGACCTTTCTCTCTGGCTGCCCTTAACATTTTTTCCTTCATTTCAGCTTTGGTGAATCTGACAATTATGTGTCTTGGAGTTGCTCTTCTCAAGGAGTATCTTTGTGGCATTCTCTGTATTTCCTGAATTTGAATGTTGGCCTGCCTTGCTAGACTGGGGAAGTTCTCCTGGATAATATCCTGCAGAGTGTTTTCCAACTTGGTTCCATTCTCCCCGTCACTTTCAGGTACACCAATCACATGTAGATTTGGTGTTTTCACATAGTCCCATATTTCTTGGAGGCTTTGTTTGTTTCTTTTTATTCTTTTTTCTCTAAACTTCTCTTCTCGCTTCATTTCATTCATTTGATCTTCCATCAGTGATACCCTTTCTCCCAGTTGATCAAATCGGCTACTGAAGCTTTTGCATTTGTCACGTAGTTCTCATGCCATGGTTTTCAGCTCCATCAGGTCATTTAAGGCCTTCTCTACATTGGTTATTCTAGTTAGCCATTCGTCTGAATCTTCGTTCAAGGTTTTTAACTTCTTTGTGATGGGTTTGCACTTCCTCCTTTAGCTTGGAGAAGTTTGATCATCTGAAGCCTTCTTCTCTCAACTCGTCATAGTCATCCTCCATCCAGCTTTGTTCCATTGCTGGTGAGGAGCTGCATTCCTTTGGAGGAGGAGAGGTGCTCTGATTTTTAGAATTTCAGTTTTTCTGCTGTTTTTCCCCCATCTTTGTGGTTTTATCTACCTTTGGTCTTTGATGATGGTGTCGTACAGATGGGGTTTGGGTGTGGATGTCCTTTCTGTTTTTTAGTTTTCCTTCTAACAGTCAGGACCCTCAGCCGCAAGTCTGTTGGAGTTTGCTGGAGGTCCACTCCAGACCGTTTGCCTGGTTATCAGCAGCGGAGGCTGCAGAACAGCAAATATTGCTGAACAGCAAATGTTGCTGTTTGATTGTTCCTCTGGAAGTTTCGTCTCAGAGGGGTACCTGGCTGTGTGAGGTGTCAGTCTGCCCCTACTTGGGGGTGCCTCCCAGTTAGGCTACTCGGGGGTCAGGAACCCACTTGAGGAGGCAGTCTGTCCATTCTCAGATCTCAAACTGCGTGCTGGGAGAACCACTGCTGTCTTCAAAGCTGTCAGACAGGGACATTTAAGTCTGCAAAGGTTTCTGCTGCCTTTTGTTTGGCTATGTCCTGCCCGCAGAGGTGGAGTCTACAGAGGCAGGCAGGCCTCCTTGAGCTGCGGTGGGCTCCACCCAGTTCGTGCTTCCCAGATGCTTTGTTTACCTGCTCAAGCCTCAGCAATGGCAGGCGCCCCTCGCCCAGCCTCGCTGCCGCCTTGCAGTTTGATCTCAGACTGCTGTGCTAGCAATGAGTGAGTCTCCGTGGGTGTAGGACCCTCTGAGCCAAGCGCGGGATATGATCTCCTGGTGTGCCGTTTGCTAAGGGTGTTGGAACAGTGCAGTATTAGGGTGGGAGTGACCTGATTTTCCAGGTGCCATCTGTCACAGCTTTGCTTGGCTAGGGAAGGGAATTCCCTGACCCCTCCCGCTTCCCAGGCGAGGTGTTGCGTCGCCCTGCTTCAGCTCACGCTCAGTGCACTGCACCCACTGTCCTGCATCCACTGTCCGACAAGCCCCAGTGAGATGAACCCGGTACCTCAGCTGGAAATGCAGAAATCACCCGTCTTCTGCTTCTCTCATGCTAGTAGCTGTAGACTGGAGCTGTTCCTATTTGGCTATGTTGGAACCCTCCCAGTCCCAGTAAAATTTTTCATTTGGAAAACAGAAGATGGGAAAAAAACACAGAAGTCACTGATCCATTGCAATAGTGGAATTCTGTAGGTCAGATATTATAAAGATTTTGTTGTGTCCATGTACAAAGTTCTTCGTTCTGACCCTGGATCCACTCTCTGAGGAACTGCCTTGTTTTTTGTTTTGTTTTGTTTTTTGAGACAGAGTCTCGCTTTGTTGCCAGGCTGGAGTGCAGTGGCACAATTTTGGCTCACTGCAACCTCCAGTTCCACTGCCTCAGCCTCTCGAGTAGCTGGGACTACAGGCGTGCCCCACCATGCCTGGCTAATTTTTTTGTATTTTTTAGTAGAGACGGGGTTTCACCATGTTGGCCAGGACAATCTCGACCTCCTGACCTGATGATCTGCCCACCTTGGCCTCCTAAAGTTCTGGGATTACAGGCATGAGCCACGGCACCTAGCCTTGCCTGATCTTTTTAAAGATCACACTATATCTACTCAAAGCACACAGAAGAAATTATACAGAAGAAAAACTTAGAGAGAGAGAGATCCTCAGCTTCCTGCAGGACAATGCTAACTTGAGTTTCTTTGGTCATACTGAAGAGTTCTGATCAGACACTCTCCGGTAGAAGAGCACACAGGCATTCCAGTATCTTCAGCATACAACACTGTACAGGTCTGCATTATAATAAAACATTAAGTACGAAGTCTGTAAAAGTTTTTCTTGTCTTGCAAATCTAAAACAAAGGGTCCATAAATTCAGCAAAAATAACTACTCACTAAACTTGTTAAATGCAAAATATAAAGAAAATGTGGGTCTCTGTAGAGTACTGCTTCGAATGGAGCTCAGGGTACTTCAGTTCTGGGACTAAAACCA
This sequence comes from Homo sapiens, assembly GCF_000001405.40. Lineage (NCBI taxonomy): Eukaryota > Metazoa > Chordata > Mammalia > Primates > Hominidae > Homo > Homo sapiens. The sequence goes on from NC_000005.10 coordinate 177,793,191, forward strand.
ATCCCTTACTTGGGAGTGATACTGGGGGGGAGGAGGAAGTAAGGGAGTTGTTCAGTAATGGAGTAAGGAAAAGAAATAGCCTAGAAAAGTCTACATTTAAGCAAATAGCAAGTAACATTTTAAAATATGTTCTATGGATCTCTTGCTACAGCAATGCGAGTGGGAGAGCCAGGAACCCAGTCTCCGAGCGGGACACCACGGATTGTTTTATGAAAATGGCAGCTGGGACGTGGAGGAAGAGCCACCTGCCAGTTGGACTGGAGCCACAAGCTGCACTGTGAACCTGGTCACTTGGCACCAATGCCGTCGGCCCGTGGGTATCTGAGGGGACCTGCCAATTGGACTGCCAAATTCCCCAGTTTGCTCCCAGATATTATAGAAAATTATTTGTATAAATAATGTAAAGAAAACACACCTATGGCAAAAACATATACATGTTCTTTAGCACAGGGTGAAATCATAACTGGCGTCATCTAAACATTTCCTCAAAGATCAGCCAAATCTAGGTAAATTCCGGTAAATATACTATATTCAACCTTAAAGCTTACCACCATTACATGCATGGCTATGGTAGTATGGTATCAACATCTGAACTAGTGAATCTAACACAGGTAAGAATTTTAAAATGCCCCCAGATGACTTCAAGGCCAAATTTCTGCTAAGGTCTCCACAAAATGGCTATTTTCAAATATAGCATATTCTGACTGGGTTTTCTGAGGTACTTTCCCTCATACTTTTTTTGTTCTGGGACTGGGGGCTGTGGAAGGAAAGACTGCTTTGCAATGCTGCATAATAAATATGGTTTTAAAAGTGCAAGTGTTACAAATGTCTTCCCTAATTAATCACACTCCTATATAAGTGAAAAGGTAATCTGAAATTTTGGTGGAAAATTACTTCTGCTGAAACTAATCTTAAGGTTGGACTTCTTTATTCATTAGTTTCTCTTTGATATTCATATCATCCCCTTAACTTACTCCTCTCTCACACCAACATGCACCCCCCCAAGGCTGTCGTAAAGAATTATCTTTAAAAAATCTTAAAAGCAGCTACAACATTTTCATTCCAGTTATCAAAGAGGTCATTCATGGTTCTGTAACTAGAACAGAAGTGTTAGAAAAAGGATAAAATCTATTGTAGTTGTACATAAAGAATATTACTTCCAATGTTATATAGAACTGTAAATTAAAAATAAACTAATGGAAAATATCTATTTGTAAATAATTACTTTGATCATAAACTTCTGATCTATATTCTCCTCCAAAGCATTCACATTTCAGGGTCTCACCATTTAGGTCAAAGTCTCCTCTGTGTCATTAAATGTATACCACTTTCCCTTGCCACTCCCCATAGAGCCCAGACATCAGACAAATAGAAGGTTAAAAAATAAACATCCTGGCTGGGTGCAGTGACTCCTGGCTGTAATCCCAGCACTTTGGGAGGCCAAGGTGGGAGGATCACATTGTGCTCTGGAATTTGAGACCAGCCTGGGCAGCGTGGCAAGACCCCGTGTCTCTACTAAAAATACAAAAAAATTAGCCAGGCTCGGTGGTGCGTGCCTGTAATCCCAGCTACCCAGGAGGCTGAGGCAGAGAATCGCTTGAACCTGGGAGGTAGGGGTTGCAGTGAACCGAGATCACAACACTGCATTCCAGCATGGGCGACAGAGCAAGACTGTCTCCAAAAAATAAATAAATAAATAAATAAATAAATAGAAAGTAAAGTATTATTAACTACTTGTTTTAAAAACAAAATTATTTCCAATTTATGTTCCCTCACATTTCTAAATTTTTGCAAGTGCTATCTCTTCTATCTAAGAAAAGTGTTTCCACTTCATTTCCTGCAAACGTTGATATTAGGTAACATTCAACTCTGACCTACAAAGAATAAGTCTGACTTCCTATGACATTCGAGGAAAAAGCGAAAGGCAGCTTGAAAAGCATCCTCCCGTCCCTGGTCTGGTATTCCAGTGCACCCACAACTTACCTCCCTCTTGCAGATCCCAACACATGCTGAGCTGTTCATGGCTCCATCACTGGGCTCACATTCTTCTCATTGACGGAATGGAATGACCTTCCTCTGCTTGCTTCACTTGGCTCGACAGCTTTTAAGGCTCTCTTTTAAATTTCACCACCAGGCCCTAAATTTCATCCACCACACATGAGGACAATCCTAGGTGGACATCAGAACCCAGCTGGACATCCCATCTCCAGGTGGATACTAGGCCCCCAGTCGATATCTGGCCCCAGGTTGACACCAAGGCTCCAGGTAAACATGAGGCCCAGGGTGAACATTAGGCTTCTGGTAAACACCAGGCCCATGTGGATTACTAGGACCCGGGCAGACGTCAGGCACCAGGTGTACCCTCGGGCCCCAGGTGAATATCTATGCCCCAGCTGAACATCAGTCAACAGGTGGATGCCCAAGCTCTTGGTAAATACCAGACAACAAGTGAACATCAGGGCCCAGAGAGACATTTGGTCCAGGTGGACACCTAGGTGGCCTGGTGAACATCAGGCTCCTGATAAAAACCCAGGCAACAGAAAGATAACAGACCACACCTAAACACCCAGGCCTCAGGTGGGTGTCAGGCCTCAGCTAAATACCAGGCCCCAAGTGGACACTGAACTCAGCTGCCAGGCTGACACCCAGGCCCCAGTTGCACCCCAGGTCATAGGGGAATATCAGGCCCCAGGAGGATACCCAAGCCCCAAGTAGGTATGAGGTCGCAGGTGAACACCCACCCCCAGAAGAATACCACGCCTCAAGTGAACACAAAGCCCAACGTGGATATGAGAACCCAGGTGGGCACCTGGCCTAGGGAGTATACCTAGGCCCCAGGAACTCATAAGGTCCCAGGTGGGCATGAGCCAGGTGAACCCTCAGGCCCCACGTGCACACGTGGCACCAGGTGAATAATCAGTCCCAATGTGGACACAGGACCACAGGTGAACATCAGGCTCAAGGTTGACACCCAGGCCCCAGGTTTACATGAGGACTCAAGTGAAAACTTCACTCCAAATGGACATCAGACCCCAGGCGAAATTCAGACCCAGGTGGATACCTAGGCTCCAATTGGACAGCTAGTCCCCAGGACTTCAGGCCCTAGGGTGACACCCAGGCTCCAGGTGGACACCAGGCTCATGGTAGAAATCAAGACACAAGTTGACACTTAAGAACTCAGTAAACATGAAGGCACATGTAAACTACTAGGCCCCAGGTGAACACCCATGCCCCAAGTTGACACCAGGCTCCAGGTGAACGTCAGGTCCCAGGGTGACACCAGGCCTCACATGGGTACCTAGATGCCAGGTGAACATCAGGCCACAGATGGAAACCAAAGCCACAGAAGGGTATCAGATCCCATGGAAACACCCAGGCCCCAGGTGGGAGTCGAGACCCCCTGGTAAACACCAGGCTCCTAGTGGACATTAGGGCCCAGCACAACGCCTGGCCCCAGGTGAACAACAGGCCTAAGGTAGCCATCAGGACCAAGTGGACACTGGATTCAAGCTGTACATCAGGTGTACCACAGTAATCCACACGGGGCCTGGTGTTTACCGGTGTCCAATGTCCCAGTTGGACACCAAGTCACATGGGGACACAGACTCCAGGTGGACACCCAGTCTCAGGATGGAAATCGGGCCCTAGATCAACAGAAGGCCCCAGGGTGACACCCAGGCCCCAGATGGATACCAGGCCCCAGGCGGACATCAGACCCAGGGTGGATACCCATCCCTAGGTAAACACCAGACCCCAGGCAGGTTATAGGTCCCAGGAAAACACCCAGGCCCCAGGGAGAAATCAGACCCTACGTGAACTCTGGTCTGCAGGTGCACATCAGGCTGGGTATACATCTGGGAACTTGTGTTCACCGGGGGCCTGTGTCCACCCCTTGGACCTGCTGTTCATCTGTGGCCTGGCATTCACCTGGGCCCTGAGAGTCATCCTGATGTCTGATATCCACCTGGGACCTACACAGCCACCTGGGACCTGGTGGTCACTTGAGGGCTGGTGCCCTCCTGAGGCCTGATGTCAACCTGCAGTGTGGGCATCCATTAGGGCCTGATGTCCACCTGAGGTCTGGGGCTCACCTGGGGCTTACTGTCCACGTGGAGCCTTGGTGTCACCCTGGGGCCTAATGTCCACCTGGAGCCTGGTATCCATCTAAAGCCTGGGTTCCACCTGGGGCATTGTTATGTCCACTTGAAGACTCGGTATCCAACTAGAGCCTGAGTTTCACCTAAGACCTGATATCCACGTGAGGCCTGGGTGTCCGCCTGAAGCCTTGGTATCCTCCTTGGGCCTGAAGTCCATCTGTGACATTCAGTGCACCTGGGGCCTGGGTGTAAACCTCGTGCCTGATGTATACGTCAAGTCCAGTGTGCACCTGGGACCCGATGGCCCCCTGAGGCCATATATCCACCTGGAACCAGAGTGTCCATTTGGGGCCTAATGTTCACCAGGAACATAACTATCCACGTGGGGCCTCATGTCTACCTGGGGCCCAGGTGTCAACGTGGGGCCTAGGCATCACCTGGGGCCTGGTGTCCATCTGGAACCTATTTGTCAACTGGGAACCTGATGTCCGCCTGGTGCCTGATGTCCATTTGGAAACTGGAGTCCACCTGGGAACTGGCATACACCTAAGACATAGCGTCAATCTGGTGTTGGATGTCCAATGTTCACCTGGGACTGTCCACTTGAGGCCTGATGTTTGCCTGGAGCCTAGGTCTCCACTTTGCTCCTGAATATTGACTGAGGCCTGGGTGTCCACGTGGGGCCTTATGCCTACCCAAAAAGGGCTGTGGCACAATGCACCTCGCCCAATTCCTGGGAAAAGTTTGTGGAGAGTTGCTGAACACCCACCCCTCACGGTTCAGGAACATGCCCTCCTGAAGACACCATCCAGGAAAGTGACTTCTTGGCCCAGGTCACTGCTCAGGGCATGAAGATCTGGAGATGGCACTGGGAACAGAGATGCAGCTGCAGTCGCTCAGGCTCGCCTCCACCGCCGTCGTGCCACAGGCCGCTGGATGCTTCCAAATCAGGTGCTGGAATTGGGGCCCTGGAGCTTCGCCCCATCCTGCTGCCAACAGGAAAAGGGCAGCGCCAGAGAACGCTGCCCTTACCACTGCTCCAGGCCTAAGTCAACCTGCTGGGCTAATCCTCAAGGGCAAAGGCCACACGGGCCATCAGCCGCCGCCACCTGATGCGAAGAAAGGCAGCTGAGAAAAGGCTGCCTGCTGGCAAAGCGACCCCAGAACCAGCCAGCCGGTGGCGCCCAGGGCTGCGAGAACTTTCTCCAAGGTAAGCTCTTGGCCTTCCTTGGTTTTGCTGTACTTTGCAAGTTGTGATTTTCTGAAAAGTGAGTAGGATGTTTTCGGGGCGGCCTTAGCAATTTCTAGCCCTAAGAGTGATGTAGGAGAGTCCCAGTTGCTCCCATCCCCGCTGACACTGAGCGGCCCACAGTTGCTCCCATCCCCGCTGACACTGAGCGGCCCACAGGGGAAAATCCAGAGATGGCTTGATTCCGTCTGACATTTCATTTCAGTGTGGTTTCCAGTGTTTCTTAGGAAACTGGGCCTAGGTTGGTTTGTGTCTTCTTCATACCATCCTTCTCGTACTTTCTTTGTGTTCTTTCCTGGTTGCTATTTTCACTTTTCTTATACTGAATACGTAGGTCCCACGTTTCCATTCCTTCTTCCTTTCCAGTCTGTGTGTATTCTGTGCAACGCCTGTGCTAGGTAACGTCGGGCCCCAGGTGAACACTTTTGACCCCAGGTGGACGTGAGGCTCCAGGTGAATACCCAGCACCTACGTGGACACCAGGCCCCACATGGACAGCAGTCCCCAGGTAAATATAAGGCCCCAGTTTGAAACCCAGCACCCACCTGAGTCAAGATGACACCTTCCCCACCGCGTTGGCAGGAGGGGCAATTCCCAGATGACAAGGGGCAGGGCCAGAGCAACTCTCTACACACTCTCCCCAGGACAAGGGCGGGTGCGTGGGACACACCCCCTCCAGGTGGGCATAAGGCCCCAGCGGACACAAAGGCCCCAGGAAAACGTCGGGCCCCAAGTGCACACTGGACTCAAGGTGGACGTTGGACACCAGGCCCCGGGTGGACAACAGGTCCCAGAGGGACTCCAGTTCCTGCATGGACATCAGGCCTCCGCTGGACATCAGGTCGCAGTTTGGCGTGGAGGCCCCAGGTGGATATGAGGCCCCAGCTAGACATCAGGCCCCAGGTGAACGCCCAGGCCTCAGGTAAATACCAGGCCCCAGGTGGACCCGAGGCCCCAGGTACATACCAGGCCCCAGGTGGAAACCTGGCCACAGATGGACATCAGGCATCTTGGAGGAACACCAGGCGCCACTTGAACCCCAGGCTCCAAGTGGATGTCCAGGCCCCAAGTAAGTATCAGGGCCAAGGTGAACAGGGGGCCCCAAGTGGACAGCAGGCCACAGGTGGATGCCTAGGCTCCTGGTGAACAGCAGGTCCCTGGTGAGAATTAGGCCCCAGACGGACACCCTGACCCCAAGGGAACATCTGATTCCAGATGGACATCGGGTCCTGGATAAGCACATGGTCCCTATATAGACATCAGCTCCAAGTAGACACTAGTCCCCAGATAGACATAAGGCCCCAGGTGCACACGGACTCAAGGTGTCCATCAAGCACCAGGCTCCCACCCAGGCCATAGCTGGACACAAAGTCACAGGTGGACAGCCATCCCACAGAGAATACCAAGGACTCAGGTGGACATCCAGGCTCAAGGGGAGCATGAGGCCCTATGTAGGCAGCAGGCAGAGGATGGGTATCAGACTCCAGGAGTACAATAGGCCCGAAGTGGATACCAGGCCCCATCTGAGTATCAATCCTCATGGGACAGCACGCTCCATATGGACACCAGGCATCAAGTACATGCCTAGGCCCCTGGTGCGTATCAGGCCCCATGGGGACACTCAGACCAGAGCTGGACATGTGGCCCCAAGTGGACACCCAGGACCCAGGTGGATACCTATACCCAGGACTTCAGGCTTCAAGGGACCACAAGGCCCCAGGTGGCTGTGGAGGCCCCAAGTAGGTATCAGGTACCAAGCTGACACCCGGGCACAGGTGGACACAAGGCCCCAGAGGATCAAGAGGTCCAAGGTGGACAACAGGTCTTAGGTAAGCAACAGTAACCAGGTGGACACCCATACCCCAGGTAGAAACCAGGCCGAAACCAGGCCTCAGCAGCACACCAGGCCTCAGGAGGATACCTAGGAACCGGGTGGACATCAGGTCCCAAGTGTTCACTGAGGCCCCAGGTCAAAACCAGGCTCCTGAAGGACACCTGGGCCCCAGGTGGACGACACTTGACTCCAAACGGACATCGGGTCCTGGGTGGACATAGGCCCCAGGGAGATACCTTGGCTCCTGGTGAACATTAGACCCCAGGTACACATCTAGGTCCCACGTGGACATCCGGGCCCAGAACGTCCTCAGGCACCGAGAAACACTCAGGCCCCAGCTGGACATCTGGTCCCAGGCTGACACCCAGGCCTCAGGTGGACACCAGTTGCTAGAAGAACTTCAGGCCCCTGCTAAAATCAAGCCCCGGGTGGATACCCAGGCCTTATACCAGGTCCCAGGTTTTAGATTTTATAAAAATAGAAAAGTTAGCCAGGCATTGTGGGGCATGCCTGTAATCCCAGCTACTTGGGTGGCTGAGGCAGTAGAATCACTTGAATCCGGGAGGTGGAGTTTGCAGTGAGCCAAGATTGCGCTACTGCACTCCAGCCGGGGTGACAGAGGGAGACTCCATCTCAAAAAAGAAAATAACATTCTCTGCATAATTAATTTGTGTTTTTGACTGATAAAGCACACCAGAGTTGAACATATTCTTATTAATATAAGTCATGTTTAAGAAAAACTAGAATTCGAAATTTGAACCTCAGCAAATCAATACCAGTCATTACTCAAATGGCATAAAAATAAGAAAAAGTGGCCATAGGTTATTACAATATTTGTGTTTAACTTGTAGAGAATATACACATTTATTTAAATTCTAAGGTTAAAATATTTTGTGAATGATTAATTTTCTTCTTGCAAAATCCATTGAGAATATAGTAGTCCTCCTTTATCCATAGGGGATACATTTCAAGATCTTCAGAGGATGCCTGAAACCACAGATAGTACTAAATCCAATATAGATTATCTTTGTTTCTACACATGCATGCCCTATGATTAACTTTCACCTTTTCACTTAAAAGGAACACTTTATGGCTTCTCTTTGGCATTTTTGAATTGCCAGCATCAGTACTTTTGCACTTTGGGGCCATTAAGTAAAACAAGATTTCTTTGAACACAAACACCGTGATATCTCAACAGAGAATTTGACGACCCAGAGAGCTGCTAAGTGACTAACAAGTGGGAAGGTAGACAGGTGGATGTTGTGGGCAGAGATGATTCACGTCCTGGGTGGGCCTTGAGTAGAGGGGGATGACAGGAGCTCCCACCACACTACTTGGAACAGCACAGCAAGTTAAAACTTGTCAGTTGTTTATCTGTGGATTTTTCATTTAATGTTTTCAGACCAGGATTGCCTGTAGGTAAGTGAAACCGTGAAAGCCAAATGCAGCTTACGTGGGACTACGGTATTAGACAGAGATGTTAACGAAGCGATCATGCTGTCATAGCCCCTGGTGTGCTGTTACTCACATTTTAAAACAAAATCATTCATTATAAAAGCTAGTCTGTTTAAGTGAGGAGTATAGTGCTACTATGTTAGATTGCACATGCTGGAAAATATTCTCTGTAAAATGCAGCCCTCAATTTCAAAGCTGTTTTTTCAGTTTTAAAACTGGCTTTTATTTATTTAAAACTGGGCACGGTGGCTTACACCTGTAATCCCAGCACTTTCGGAGACCAAGGTGGATGGATCACAAGGTCAGGAGTTCGAAACCAGCCTGCCCAACATGGTGAAACTCTTGTCTCTACTAGAAATACAAAAAAATTAGCCAGACACTAGCTGGGTGCGGTGGCTCACGCTTGTAATCCCAGCACTTTGGGAGGCCGAGGCAAGTGGATCACGAGGTCCGGAGCTCGAGACCAGCCTGGCCAATATGGTGAAACCCCGTATCTACAGAAAATACAAAAAGTAGTTGGGCATAGTGGTGTGCGCCTGTAGTCCCAGCTGCTTGGGAGGCTGAGGCAGGAGAATTGCTTGAACCCAGGAGGCAGCGGTTGCAGTGAGCCGAGATCGCACCACTGCACTCCAACCTAGGTGACAGAGCAAGACTCGGTCTCAAAAAAAAAAAAAAAAAAAAAATTAGCCAGACACCAAATGCCAGGGTGTCTGGGCAGAACAGAGTTGGAGCAATGAGATGTTGTATAGCCCAGAAAGGGGAGGTGACAGGCCCAGGGACACACAGAAAAGCAGCGCTGGGGACCTGCAGCCCACCTTGATCCCACTGGCAGCCATCTCTGATTCACCTCTGTTCCGTGCTTTCTCCCCACCCTAAAGGTTCTACTCTGCTCATGTGCCTCAAATCCACTTCAACTGTGCAGACATCAAGGAAGCCTTCCCTGGCCTCAGCCTGAGGGAGAGCTGCTTCTGTCTGAGCCAGATCCTAAAACCAGTAAATGGACATTCTAAGGAGACAGGTTTTGGCTTAACCCAAGAAAGACTTCCTGGGAACTGAATCTCTCCAGATAGGCCACGAGCTACCTGAGGACATAGTGAGCACACTATGACCAGGGGTATGCAAGCAGACAGGTAACCAATGTGGCATGGGCTGCTCTGAAATAACATATGATGCAGCACTCGGCATGAGCTCCAGCACCTGGTCAGCAAGCACCTCATCAATGTTTATCTTATCTCTGTCCCATCAGACATGGCAAGTATCCTGTCCCTCAGGGAATTCAAGCAGAGGCTCTAGGATTACTGGACTCTGAGTGCCTGGCACAGGACTCCGTCCAGAGCAGGCAGGTACTCGAGGTGTTTGACAAACTGAATGACCCCTGCCATCTGGCCACGTAGGCAAGTGAGGAGCCTGCTCACCTTGAGGTGCCCCAGGTGCATGCGGGTCCGCTCACACATATGCAGAACGTACTTGACTTTACTCTCGTCCACGATGATGTACAAAGCTGCTTTCCTCTTGAAGCCGGCGTCCAGCAGGTCTTTGAAGATGTCCACATGGGTGAACATGTCCATGACCACAGCTATCACCCAGGAGCAAGAAGAGAGACAGGGGCCTGTCAGACAGCACAGCAGTGGGGACACAGTGCCTCAGCAGAACGCACAGCCCTCCCATGCCACCAGCTTCTCACGGGTGCCCACTCTGATCCCATTCCTGGAACCTCAGGACCGGGACCAGGAAGTGAAGGGCATGGGGTCTCTCTTGCCCTGAAGTTCTAGCTGCAGCCCCAGCTCTGGACTCACCAGGGACCCCGTGTTGGTGCATTCCCAGGCCAGGGCTGGCTACACTCTGCCCTCCTCATAACACCTAGGGATGCTGAGGTGAACCAGATGTGTCAATGGCCAGGGGAGAAGGGCAGCAGCTGGCGTGGCCACTTGCTGGGACCTCCTCTGCATACCTGGGCTGGTGTGGATAGAATGATAGGAAAATAAGAAACCTGAACAGACCAATAATGAGTAATGCAATTAAAGCAGTAATAAAAAGTCTCCTGTCAAAGAAACCCACAAGAATCATGGTTTTACTGCTGAATTCAACCAAATGTTTTAAAAGAGCTAATACCAATTTTACCAAAACATTCCCCCAAAGAATGAAGAGGAAGGAATGCTTCCAAACTTGTTCTATGAGGCCAGAATTACCTTGGTACAAAAAGCAGACCAAAACACAACACAAAAAGAAAACCACAGGGAAACACTCCTGATGAACACAGATGCAAAAATCCTCAGCAAAATACTTGAAAAATGCATTTGACAAGACAATAAAAATATCATCTGCCATAATCAAGTGGGATTCATCCCAGGAATATGAGGATGATTCAATAAACACAAATAAATAAATGTGCTACACCACATTCAGTGAATCAAAAAAAAAACCATATAATCATTTCGGTAGATGCTGAAAAAAATTAAACATTCCTTCATAATAAAAATTCAACAAAATGAGTACAGAAAAAAACATATCTCAGCAAAATAAAGGCCATATATGACAAAAACACAGCTAACATCATAAACAATGGGAAAAAGTTAAAAGCTCTTCCTCTAAGATCTGGAACAAGTGTGGCTACTTTTTTTTTTGAGATGGAGTCTTGCTCTGTCACCCAGGCTGGAGTGCAGTGGCGCGATCTCAGCTCACTGCAAGCTCTACCTCCCAGGTTCACGCCATTCTCCTGCCTCAGCCTCCTGAGTAGCTGGGACTACAGGCGCCTGCCACCACGCCCAGCTATTTTTTTTTTTTTTTTTTTGTATTTTTAGTAGAGACGGGGTTTCACTCTGTTAGCCAGGATGGTCTTGATCTCCTGACCTCGTGATCCGCCCACCTCGGCCTCCCAAAGTTGCTGGGATTACAGGCATGAGCCACTGCGCCTGGCCCAAGTGTGGCTACTTTTACCACTTTTATTCATCATAGTACTGGAAGTCTGAGCTAGAGCAATTAGACAGGAGAATGCAATAAAAAGCATCCAAATGGGAAAAAAGGAATTCAAATTGTCTCTGTTTGCAAGTGACATGATCTTTCACATATGGAGAGAATCCTAGAGATTATACAACAAAACCTACTAGAAACAATAAATATAGTAAAGTTACTAGACACAATATCAATATACAAAAATGAGTAGCACACGCATGCGCCAATAGTGAAACACCTAAGAAAGAAATCAAGAAAGCTATTTCATTACTGCTACCAACAAAAAAATACCTAGAGATAACCAAAAAGGTTAAAGATCCCACAACAAAATTATAAAACATAGATGAAAAATATTAAAGCAGACACATGTAAATGGACAGATATCCCATGTCCAAACACTAGAAGAATATTGGTAAAATATCTGTATCACCCAATGTGAGCTACAGAATCAATGCAATCCACGTTAAATTACAAAACACATTCTTCATAGAAATAGAAAAAAAATTCTAAAATTCACATGGAAATGCAAAATACCTCAGATAAAATAATATTGAATAAAAAGAAAAAAGCTGGAGGCATCACAATACCTGGTTTCAAAATATACTACCAAAATACCATGGAACTGGCAAAAAAAGGGGCAAGGAGAGACAGAGACAGACAGACATAGATGAATGACAGAGACAAAGACAAATGAAACAGTGTAGAGAACTCAGAAATAAATTCACGCATTTACAGTCAACTCATTTTTAACAAAGGCACCAAGAACACACCTTTGAGAAGGACAATCTCTTCAGTAAACGCTAGGAAAACACAACACCCACACGTAGGAGAATAAATTTAGATCTTTATCTTACCATATACAAAAATCTACTCAAAGATTGACATGTAGAACCTGAAACTATGAAACTACTAGAGAAGATGACATAGGATAAATACTTCATGGAATTGGTTAGGACAAGGGATTTTGAAACAGACATCAAAAGCACAAGCAACAAAAGCCAAAATAGAGAAATGCAATTACATTAAACTTAAAAGCTTCTGCAAAGCAGAGGAAGCAATCAATAGAATGAAGAAACAAACCAGACAATGGAAGTATTTGCAAACTATACATCAGGCAAAGGGTTAATACACAAAACATATAAAGAACTGAAGCTACTCAAAAGCAAAAATACAAATAATCTGATTTAAAAATCAGAAAAAGATCTACTCAAAACCTTTGTCCCCCACCATTATTTCCCCATCTTTTTTTCCCGACGACCTTTGGCCCCCTCTCTTTCGCCACACTTTTTCTTCCTCCATCTACCCCAAAACTTTTTCCCCCACCATCTTTTCGCAAAGCCTTCTCTACTCACCCGCTCACTACTGTTTTCCCCACCCATCTACCCAAAAACTTTTCCCCACCGTCTTTTCTCCCTCTCCCTGGCCACCCTTTTTTGCCCCTCCGGCTCTCATCACCCTCTTTTGTTCCTTCATCTCCCCAAATACATTTTCTCCCATCTCTTCCCAAAGCCTTCTCTCCACTCCTGCTGCTTGCCACCCTCCTTCCCCCTCCATCTACCCAAAAACTGTTTCCCCATCGTCTTTTTCTCCTTTCCTCCTTGCCATCCTCTTTCCCTTCTCCATCTACCCAAAAACATCCCAGCCATCTTTTTGCAAAGCCGCCTTCCTACTCCTCCTTACCACCCTCGTTTACCCATCTACCTCCCCAATTTTCCCCCACCGTCTTTTCACAAAGGCCTTCCCTGCTTCCCGCTCACCCTCTTCTTTCCTCTATCCTGTTTGCCACCCTCTTTTTGCCCTCCATCTACCCCAAACTATTTTCCCTATCATCTTTTTCCCAACTCTCCCCACTCCCCCTGGGCACCTTCTATTCTCCTCTCACTTGCCACCCTCTTTTCCCCCTCCATTTACCCACTTTCTACCCACCGTGTTTTCTTTCTGCACTTTCTTTTCTGCCCACCGGTTTTTCCCAAAACCTTTTCTCCCTGCTCGCCACCCTCTTTATCTTTCTCCCGCTTGCCACCCTCTTTTCCCCTTCATCTACTTAAAAGCTTCTCTCCTCACTGCCTTTTCACAAAACCTTCTCTCCCTCCTGCTCGCCACTCTCTCCTCCCCCTCCCTCTCTGCACCCTCTTTTCTCCTCCCACTTGCCACCCCTTTTCCCCGCTCCATCTACTCAAAATCTTTTTATCCACCCTCTTCTTTCCCTTTCTTTTTTTCCCAACTGTATTTTTGCAAACTTTCTCTCCCTCCTGCTCACCCCCGTTCCCCCCACCACCCTCTCTTTCCCCCTTCCATCTACCCAAAAACTTTTTCCCCACCATCTTTCTGCAAAACTTTCTCTCCCTCCTGTTCACCACCGTTTTTCCCCCTCCACCTACCCCCAACATTTTTTCCCCACCATCTTTTCCTCACTGTCTTTTTGCAACACCTTCTCCTGCTCGCCATCCTCTTTTCCCTTTGGCACTAACCACCCTCTTTACTCCTCCATCTACCCCAAAACTATTTTCCCCTTCCTACCGCTCCAGCCACACTGCAGTCTCCGTCGCTGCCACCAACCGCAGCGAGGCGAGCTGTGGTGCCGCAGCCACAGCCTCCAGCATGCAGCGGTGGCTAGCCCTTGTCCTGGTCCTCTAAGCCGGGAACGGAGCAGCCCCGCGCGCAGACACGCATGAGCCTAGAACGGCCTGACTCCCCTTCGGCACCATTTATATACTGAGGTTATGCATATGAGGTTCCTGGATTACATGTTCCAGGATTGGGTAAGAGAAAACGCAGAGGCCTACTCTGATTGGACTTTGTTAGCATGTTCTGATTGGATGAGAGCAAGTCTTAGGACAACCAGTCAGCGTATGAAATAAAGTCCAATCAGAGAAGGCCTAGAGGTTTTCTCTCATCCAATCAGAACATGTAGTTCAGAATCCTTGTGCATAACCCCATGTGCATGCTGAGGAGGCCTCACGCCATCCTAGGCTTTCCTAAATCGGCCGGCGGAGCTACTCTGTTCCCAGCTCAGCAGATCAAGAGAAGGGGGAGCTGGATGCTGGAGCCTGCAACACTGTGGCTCGCCTCGCTACAGTTGGCGGTGGTGACAGAGACAGCGGGCAGCACGGCCAGAGTGGTAGAAGGGAGGATGGCAGCGGGAGCTGCTCTTGACTGGCTAGCGGTCTAGAAGAAGGGGGGCCCTCTGCTCCACGCTGGAGGCTGGAGCCTCGGCCACCGAGGCTCCTCTGGCTGCGGTTGGTGGTGGCGACCGAGACTGCAGGTCTGTTAGAGTGGTAGAAAGTTTGCCGGGTAGGTGCACTCTTTGCGGCTGCACTGCCCTCCTGCAGGGGGTTGGGGAGGCATATTTGGTAAGCTGTTGAGGCTGCAGTGCCTGCCGCGGAGTTAGGGAGGGGCTGGTGGGGGTGCTATCTGGCATTGCATTGCTGTGGGGGTGGGGGGCAGGTTGGCTGAGTTATCAGGGCCTACAGTGCCCAAGGTCGAGGGGTCGGAGGCAGGTTGTGTGCGCTATTGTGCACAGCCAGCGGCTCATGGGGGCAGGTTAGGGGTGTTATTTGCTGCACTGCCAGAGGCAGGGGGCAGGTTGGGTGTGCTATCCTGGGCTACAATGCCAGCAACAATGTGGGCCGGCAGTCGGGGGAGGTTTAGGGGAGCTGTCAAATGCTGCAGTGCTTGTGGGGGAAGGGGGAAAGGGGAAGGTGGGGTGGGGGGTTTGGTTGGGTGCACTATCCCGGGCATTCACTGCCCACGATGGGAGCAGGTTGGGGGCGCTATCCAGGGCTGTGCTGCCTGTGGCCCTGGTGGGGGGCTGGTTTGGGGCGCTGTCAGGTGCTGCAATGCCGGTAGCGGGACGGGCTGTGGACACCATCAAATGCTACACTGCTGGGGGCAGAGTGGTGGTTTGGGGGCACTATTGGGGTTACATTGCCTACTACAGTAGTCTCTGGGTGTGTTGTGGGTGCAATCCGGGGGCTGCATTGCCGGCAGCGGGGGCCAGGTTAGGGGCGCTATCGGGGTCTGCACTGCTGCCACCAGAGGCAGGTTGTGGAGGTGGCCGGGACAACGGTTGCCTCTGAGGAAGGGGACCTTCTTCTTTTCTCAGACTCAGGGCTCTAGAGAGAGAACTCCTCCTGCTTGTGTGGGAGTGTGGCGGGCGCACAGAGTTTTCATGCCAATCCTCTAAGCATGGCAGGGCCCCCACACCCACTGTGGTTCCCCAGCCCTTGCCCTCTCGCTCCATGTTGTGGAGACCATCTGGGACCCCCAGGCATGGAGCAGGAGTAGTGGGCACCACGGGGGCTCAGGGCCTGTGGGTGGAGGAGTCAGGAATGGGAACCAGTACTTGGGTGGGGAGTACTGGCTGAGTGTGAGTTTCTGCTGTTCCTGCTCCCCAGGGAGTGTCGGGCACTGTGGTGTCTCCAGTCCCCACCCCAGGTCAGGAGGCCAGCTTGGGCCAGGAGGAGAGGCTGGACTTTGGCAGGTGAGTGTGAATGCCTTTGCTGAAACTGGCCGCTGCCACCCAGTGGCCAGCATGACAAGGCGAGGCTTTAACACTACCACTTTCTGCATCCCGTTGTAGGTTTTTCTGGCTTTTCCTCTCCAGCTGTTCCAAGCCAGGCTGGTGAAGTAGGAGTCACCTGTGGTGAGCTGGAGGTTGGAGCCTGTAGATGGCGTGGCTCTGTGGCTCACTTCCTGTGGTTGTGGCAGCGACAGCGATGGAGACTGCAGCTCGACAGGAATGGTAGGAGGGTGCCCGTGGAGGCCAGGTGGAAGGAGCCCTGGAGGGTGGGTGGGTGCATGGAAGGTGACAGAAGCACTGGTTGTGTTGGCATCGGCGGTAATAGTGGTAACAGCAGCAAGTCTGGGGGCCGGGAAGGGGGAGTAGGAGAGCTTTGGGGCCTGGCCTGGCCTGGGGTGTGTAGGAAGCTGCTGGTTCTGTACTGCAGGCCTCAGTGACAGTGGTGGAGGTGCAGCCAGGGCAAGGAGGAGTCCTCCCCTTTCTTCTGCAGTTTCTGGAGGGTGTCCTCCTCCTGCTGGTGCCTGAGCCAGGAGTGAGTGGCAGCATTGTCTCATTCTTAACAGAATTTAGGGGGTGACTAGTTGTGTGTCTTTTTGCTTGTGTTTGTTTTGATAACTTATCCCTTAAGGAACAAAAGGCTTCTTTGGCTGGGTTTTGGTGTGGTGGGATCCCCTTCCCATGCAAGATAAAGGGTGCTTTCCTGGGAAGGTGTGTGTTGGAGGGAGTTCATCAAGGAGAAGAAAGGGAACCTCCCAGGAGGGTGGCTGCTGTGGCAGATCCCCTACCTCTGGGCAGCCTCTGGGCCACCTAGTTTCTCCTGTGGAAGAAGGGAGGCTTAGACCTGTGTCACCTGTATCATCAAAGAGGCATCCTCCTGGGCCAGTCGATTTGGCCTTCCCACTTCTTCAGCCCACCTGCCCATGGTGTCACCTGGGGGAAGTGGATCCTCACACCACAGGGGCAGAGGCTTCTCCGGCAGGCTGATTGCTGAAAGGGGTTCTGTCCTGCCTGCTGCTCAGGAGGGATTCTATGGCCAGGAACTGATGCCGGGACTCTCCTGTTCATGTCCTGCTGCCTCTGTGTTGTCTCTGGGTTCTCAGGGACTCTCAGATCTGTGAAGACAAAAAGGTTTCCTGGCTAGTTTGCGTGGTGTGGCTGGGGTCACTTTTGCTACATGCCCCTCAGGCACCCCAGTGCCTCTGGGGAAAAAGGGAATTTTAGATTTACTAGAGAAAGAATGTGTCTATGTTGGCTGCTTATTGTTAGCAAACTTCTGAACAGTTCTACTCTAAGATCATAGCAGAATGGTTGCCTCTTGTTGGATAGACTCCCGCTCCACTGGGGAAGAAACGAGCTTACCTGGACTGTGTTTCTTGCTGGCTTGAGGGTAGAAAACGCTAGGTTTTTGTCTGCTTTTTCAGTTGAGTTAGGGAAGTGACATGCAGTGCCACTTCAGTTCTGGAGTCCTTAGATTGCCTTCTTTGTAGCACCATCCAGCATTCTCCTTCAGTGAGATAATAAGGGAGGGTTCCTAATCTAACAGGAAAAGTGGAATGGTGTTCTTATATTGTACAACAAGAAATATGAACTAATTCTGAAAAATTTAGTCATTCCTCTTTTAAATTTAGAAACCCCTTATTATATTTATAATATTTAAAACCATTAAAAATTAAGATGTCATAATTAAGATAATCTTTTAACATTTTACATTAATTAGCATTTAGCAGATGACCATAACAAATTATTTTTATTATGTTACATTAATTGCCAATACAGATTTCTTTCTGGTTATTACAAATCTGTTTGCAAAATTTTATTTTGTCATTTATTAAATTTTTGGATAATTAGTTGCTACATTATAGGTATACAAACTTATAGTGTTAATTATGGCTACAAATACTTAAATTCAGTTTTAGTATCTTTTATTAATAGTCTAAAACTTATAAAATGCTTTGTGCATTAATATTGGTAACATTTTTTAGTATGAATTATCATTTCAAAAATGTTAAGAACATAGCTTTTCCATCTTTTATTTATTTATTTATTTTTTATTTTTTTGAGGTGGAGTCTTGCTGTGTCGCCCAGGCTGGAGTGCAGTGGTGTGATCTCAGCTCACTGCAACCTCTGCCTCCCGGGTTCAAGTGATTCTCCTGCCTCAGTCTCCTGAGTAGCTGGGATTACAGGCACGTGCCACCACACCTGGCTGATTTTTGTGTTTTTAGTAGAAATGAAGTTTTACCATATTGGTCATGCTGATCTTGAACTCCTGACCTCAGGTGATTCGCCTGCCTTGGCCTCCCAAAGTGCTGGGATTACAGGCATGAGACACCACGACTAGCCTATTTATTTATTTTAGAGACAGGGTCTTCCTCTGTTGCCCAGGTTGAAGTGCAGTGGTGTAGTCATAGCTCACTGCAGGCTCAAACTCCAGGGCTCAAGAGATTCTCCTGCCATGGCCTCCCAGAGTGCTGGGATTACAGGCATGGGCCATTGCGCCTGGCCTAAATTGTAATAATTTTATAGTTTGCCTCAAACGAGGGCTGACATCTGGGCAAGGTCTGCTGGGGGCCTCCCACATGCAAGCAGTCTCTCTGCTGTGCCCTCCACCAGCTCTGAGGGCCCCCTGCCACAAGCACCGCTCTCTCCTTTCCCCTCTGGGGAAGGCCAGGAGAAGTGACTTTTGAGGTTACCTGAAGGACTTCTGTCTGTTTGGAAAAGGGTGTGAAGCTGAAGCCGATGGCCTCAGTGCCCAAAGGAGAACGCTTCTTACTGGCCTATGGAAGCCACTGGCCTGACAGTGGGGTCCTGGTCTTGGGGGTCTCAGCCACGTGGCCACCCATTCCTTCCTCACTTAGGCATCCACCTAGCGGGCTGCTCACACCCCCTTCCATCCTGTTTGTGTTCAGCCAATCAGGCAAGCCAGGGTTATAGCCCTCCCTGCCCTGGGCCCTGGCTCCATGAAGCACCATGGGCCTTGGAAGACCTCCCCAAATCATCCCATCTCCCCAGTACCTTCTGCCAAGGCAGAAGTTTCCCCGGGCCCCTGCTCTGACTGTTTCCTTGGCACAGTTTGTAGCTGTGCCTGATACGGCACACCTACCTGGTTTCCGTCCCAAACCCACAGCCAGGCCATGTGACAGCTGCTGCCTGTGCCCAAACATTCATCCAGCCCCACCCAGGAGAGCCAGACAGGCACTCACACCCTCACCCGCACACCCTCACCCACACCCCCCCACCCACACCCTCCCCCACACACCCCCACCCACACCCTCCCCCACACACCCCCACCCTCACATCCCCACCCACACCCTCGCCCACACCCCCACCCACACCCTCACTCACACACCCCCATCCAAACCCTCCCCCCCACACCCCCACCCACACCCTCACCCACAAACCCCCACCCACACCCTCACCCACACCCTCACCCACACACCCCCACCCACACCCTCACCCACACCCTCACCCACACCCTCACCCACACACCCCCACCCACACCCTCACCCACACCCTCACCCACACCCTCACTCACACACCCCCATCCAAACCCTCCCCCCCACACCCCCACCCACACCCTCACCCACACCCCCACCCACACCCCCACCCACACACCCTCACCCACACCCTCACCCACACCCCCACCCACACCCTCACTCACACACCCCCATCCAAACCCTCCCCCCCACACCCCCACCCACACCCTCACCCACACACCCCCACCCACACCCTCACCCACACACCCCCACCCACACACCCCCACCCACACCCTCACCCACACCCTCACCCACACCCTCACCCACACACCCCCACCCACACCCTCACCCACACACCCCCACCCTCACACCCCCACCCTCACACCCTCACTTGCCTGGCCCTGCCACACCCCACCCTTCCTCTAAACCTACTGGGGCAGCAGCTTCCCCTACGTTCCGCCTGCTCCACCTCCTCCTAGAGTTGGGTCACACACAGTTTCCCACACCCTTGGCAGGTTGGTCATGGCCCTGGCAGGTCTGAGGACAAGATGGTCACAGGACTGTGTGCAGCATAGAAAAGTCAGGGAGTGCAGCCTCCTACTCTGTGCCAGCTGCCAGCCCCTGGAGCTTACTAGGCTGATGGGGACAAAGAATGCACCAGAGGGGACAGTAGTCCACCACAGGACTGATGGGAGGTTCACAGATGCACTGAGTGCCCTGTTGCATTGGTCCTCAGGGGTAGATGCTGAGATGGAGTTAGGAGAGCAAAGGGGAGGAAGGGAGCTGGGCATGGTAGCTCATGCCAGTAAATCCTAGCATTTGGGGAGGCCAAGGTGGGAGGATTTCTTGAGGCCAGGAGTTTGAGACCAGCCTGGGCAACATAGCAAAACCCTGTTTCTACAAAAAAAATAAAAATAAAAAAAATTAGCCTGGCGTGGTGTCTGTATTCCCGATTACTCAGGAGGCTAAGGTGGGAGGATCAGTTGAGCCCAGGAGTTGGAGGCCACAGTGAGCTATGATCATGCCTGCACTCCAGCCTGGGCAACAGAGCAAGACTCTGTCTCAAAAAGAAAAATAAATGGGGAGGAACTGGATTGGGCAGAGGGCACCAGCAGAGGAGCTCTGGATCTAAGTGCCTGACAGAGGAGTCCCCTGTTAGACAGAAAAGGCCCTGATACCACTTGCTCAGTCACTGGCCACCAGGGAAGAGGGTGGCCTCGAACTGAGAGCTGAGGGGACCCGGAAGGTGCTGACAGCTGGGCAGAGAGTGAGTCCTTTTGAAGGGGCATATCGCCTTCCCCACTCACTCCTGCTGGGCTACTCTGGGTAGTGGGCGCCCTGGGTTGCAGACATTAAGCCTTTAGAACGGAAGCTGGTTGATGGCAGGACTACTGCCAGCTAGACTCTGTCACCCCTGGTCTGTCACAGGCCAGGACCCACAAGGTCCTTGGCATGCTTAAGTGAATGTGTACAGGAATGAGGGAATGAACTTCCTCGAAAGAATCCTGGCGTGGTGAGATTCTGGAACTTGGCCTCAGGGACCTGCATTCACATTCAGTCCTGGCCCTTCTAAGCTCTGTGGCCTCTAACCTGCCCTAGGCGTTAATTTCCCTGTTGGTGAAATTAGAGTGATGATGCCTGTCATGATATTTCTGTTTTCTTTTTTCTTTTCTTTGATCCTTTCTTTCCTTTCTTTTCTTTGATCCTTTCTTTCCTTTCTTTTCTTTCTTCTTTCTTTCTTTTTTTTTTCTTTTTGGAGTCTCACTGTGTCACCCAGGCTGGAGTGTAGCAGCACAATCTCAGCTTACTGCAACCTCTGTCTCCTGGGTTGAAGCAATTCTTGTGCCTCAGCCTCCCAAGTAGCTGGGACTACAGGCATGCGCCACCACGCCCAGCTAACTTTTTGGTGTTTTTAGTAGAGATAGGGTTTCACCATGTTGGCCAGGCTGGTCTCGAACCCCCTATGAAGAGATCTACCACCTTGGCCTCCCAAAGTGCTGGGATTACATGCATGAGCCACCATGCCAGGCTGTCATGATATTTCAATAAAGTGATGTAGAATCATGTAGGCCATGACCTTCCTTAGGTGGAGCAGAAAATGTCACCTCCATGTAAAAAAAGGAACAGGGACCAAGTGCGGTGGCTCACGCCTGTAATCCCAACACTTTGGGAGGCCGAGGAGGGCAGATCACCTGAGGTCGGGAGTTCGAAACCAGCCTGACCAACACGGAGAAACCCTATCTCTACTAAAACTGCAAAAAATTAGCCGGGCGTGGTGGCGCATGCCTGTAATCCCAGCTACTGGGGAGGCTAAGGCAGGAGAATCACTTGAACCAGGGAGGCAGAGGTCGCAGTGAGCCGAGACCGTACCATTGCACTCCAGCCTAGACGACAAGATTGAAACTCCATCTCAAAAAAAAAAAGAAAATAAATAAATAAAATAAAATAAAATAAGGAACAGGAGCAGGAAGAAAATACACCAGCCAGGAATGTTAACAGTCATTGTCTCTGGGTGATTTTTTTATAAGTTTGGTTTTTTTTGAGACAGAGTCTCACTCTAGCGCTCAGGCTGAAGTGCAGTGCGGTGATCTTGGCTCATTGCAGACTCCACCTCCCAGGTTCAAGCAGTTCTCCTGCCTCAGCCTCCCAAATAGTTGGGATTACAGGTGCCTACCACCAGGCCCAGTGAATTTTTTTGCAATGGTTTGAGATGTTAAATCTGTTTCTGAGTATTTGTAGGGTTTTGAATGGGAATTTAAAAGAGTCGGGTCATGGAATATTGACAGTACATTTTAAACAGATCCCCAGGAATAATTACTTTTTAAATTTTATTTTTATTTCAACAGTTTTTGGGTACAGGTGGTTTTCAGTTACATGGATGTGTTCTGAGATTCTAGTGGGTCCGTCACCTGAGCAGTGTACACTGTACCTAATATGTAGTCTTTCATCCCTCATCCCCCTCCCATCCTTTCCTCTCTGAGTCCCCAGCGTCAATTATATCATTCTTAGGCCTTTTTATCGGTGTAGCTTATCTCTAACTTTTAAGTGAGAACATATGATTTTTGGTTTTTCATTCCCGAATTACTTCACTTAGAATAATGGCCTCCAGCTCCCTCTAAGTTGCTGCAAAAGGCATTATTTTGTTCCTTTTTATGGCTGAGTGGTATTCCGTGGTGTATATATACCACGTTTTCTTTGTCTACTCGTTGGTTGATGGGCACTTAAGTTGGTTCCACGTCTTTGCACTTGTGAATTGTGCAAACATGCATGTGCATGTGCCTTTTTCACAGGATGACTTCTGTTCCTTTGTGTAGATACCCAGTAGTGGGGCTGCTGGACTGAATGGGAGTTCTACTTTTATTTCTTTAAGGACTCTTCATACTGTTTTCCACAGTGGTTATGCTCACTTACATTCCCCACTAGGAGAGTAAGAGTGTTTCCTTTTCACCACATTCCTACCAACATCTACCGTTTTTTGACTTTTTAATTATGGCCATTTTTGCAAGAGGAAGGTGGTGTCTCATTGTGATTTTGATTTGTATTTGTTTGATGATTAGTGATGCTGAACATTTTTTCATGTGTGTCTGCTTGTGTATCTTTTGAGAAGTGTCCATTTATATCTTTTGCCCACTTTTTAATAGGGTTATTTATATTTTGCATGTTGATTTAAGTTCCTTACAGATGCAGATATTAGACCTTTGTCAGATGCATAGTTGGGGAATATTTTCTCTCATTTCATAGGTTGTATATTTACTCTGTTAATAATGTCTTTCGCTGTGAAGAAGCTCTGTCATTCAATTAGGTCCCACTTGTCAACTTTTGTTGGTGTTGCAATTGATTTTGAGGACGACCTAGTCATAGATTGTTTCCCAAGGCCAATGTCCTGAATGGTATTTCCTAGGTTTTCTTTTAGAGTTCTTATGGTTTGAGGCCTTACACTTAAATCTCTGATCCAGTGGCAAGACCCACCATCTTCAAGGACTCATCTCACGTGTAACAACATCCACAGGCTCAAAGTAAAGGGATGGAGAAATATCTACCATGCAAAAGTCACCATTTTTTTTTTTTTTTTTTTTTTTTTTGGAGATGGGCTCTGTCACCGAGGCTGGAGTGCACTGGTGTGATTATGGCTCGCTGCACTCAACCTCCCAAGTGATCCTCCCACCTCAACCTCCTGAGTAGCTGGGACTACAGGCATGCACCACCACACCTGGTTAATTTTTGTATTTTGTGGTAGAGATGGGGTTTTGCCACGTTGCCCAGGCTGATTTCCAACTCCTGTGCTCAAACAATCCACTTGCTTCAGCCTTCCAAAGTGCTAGGATTACAAGTCTGAGCCACCGCGTCCAGCCCAGGCATTGCTATTCTTAGATAAAACAAATGGTAAAGCAATAAAAATTAAGTAGGACAATGAAGGCCATTATATAATGATGAAGGGTACAATCCAACAAGACTTAACTATCTTAAATATATATTCACCCAACGTTGGAACAACCGATTCATAACACAAGTTCTTCTTGGCCTACAACATGACTTAGACAACCACACAGTTGAGGGAGACCTCAACTCCCCACTGACAGCGTTAGACAGATCATTAACACAGAAAATTAACAAGGAAACTGGACTTAAACTCAACACTTGACCAGTTAACCTAATAGTTTTCTACAGAACACTCCACTCAACAACCACAGAATATACATTTTTCTCATCTGCACAGGTAAGACTCTCTAAGATCAATCGCATGCTCAGTCATGAAGCAAGCCTCAATAAATTTAAAACAAACCTGGACGGGTGCGGTGGCTCATACCTGTAATCCCAACACTTTGGGAGGCCGAGGCGGGCGGATCATGAGGTTAGGAGTTCGAGACCATCCTGGCTAACACAGTGCAACCCCATCTCTACTAAAAATACAAAAAAAAAAAAAAAAATTAGCCAGGGGTGGTGGTGGGCGCCTGTAGTCCCAACTACTCGGGAGGCTGAGGCAGGAGAATGGCATGAACCCGGGAGGTGGAGCTTGCAGTGAGCCGAGATTGCGCCACTGCACTCCAGGCTGGGCGACAGAGCGAGACTGTCTCAAAAAAAAAAAAAAAAAAAAAGAATGTAAATTTATTTTCTGATAGTTCTAGAGGCTAGGAAATCCAAGATGAAGGTGCTGGCAGGTTAGGGCCTGGTTTCTCTGCTTCCAAGGTGGTGCCTTGAGCACTGTGTCTTCCAGAGAGGAGAAACACCGTGTTCTCACATGGCAGGAGGTGGGGGCAGGGAGAGAGAGATAGAAACTGCTTCCATGGGCCCTTTTTATAGTGGCGTTTCCATTCATGAGCTATACACCTCCCATTGGTCCCCACCTGCCCATACTGTTCCATTGGGCATTAAGCTTTCAACACATGAGTTTTGAGAGATACATTCAAACCATAGCATCCCTTTGTTATTTAGGAGTGTGACATTTAATTTTTCTATGTTTGTGAATTTCCCAAATGGTCTTCTGTTATTGAATTCTAATTTCTACTGTGGCCACAGAATGTACTTTATATGATTTCAGTCTTTCTAAATTTATTGAGGTTTGTTTTATGGCCTAGCACATGGTATGTCTTGGAGAATGTACTGTGTGTGCTTGAGAAGAATGTGTGTTCTGCCTCTGTTGGTTGGAGTGTTCTGTAGATATCTGTTAGTCTGGTTGGATTAACAATGTTCACATCTTCTATATCCTTGTTAATCTTTCATCTAGCTGTTGTATCTGTTCTCGAAAGTTGGGTATGGAAGGCTGGGCATGGTGGCTCACGCCTGTAATCCCAGCACTTTTGGAGGCAGAGGCAGGCAGATCACGAGGTCAGCAGATCGAGACCATCCAGGCTAACACGGTGAAACCCCATCTCTACTAAAAATACAAAAAAAAATCAGCCCGGCATGGCGGCGGGCACCTGTAGTCTCAGCTACTTGGGAGGCTGAGGCTGGAGAATGGTGTGAACCCCAGAGGCGGAGCTTGCAGTGAGCCAAGATAGAGCTCCATTGCACTCCAGCCTGGGCGACAGAGGGAGACTCCATCTCAAAAAAAAAAAAAAAAAAAAAAGAAAGTTGGGTATGGAAGTCTCCAACTATTACTGTTCAATTGTCCATTTCTCCTTTCAGTTCTGTGGTTCATTTTTGCATCATATTGGGTCTCTTTCGTTAGTTGCATATGTTTATAACCGTTGTGTCTTCCTGATGAATTGACACTTTGTTCATTATAAAATGTCTCTCTTTATCACTTGTAACATTTTAATTTATTTTTTATTATTTATTTATTTATTTATTTAATTTTTGGGACAGGGTCTCTTGCTCTGTCACCCATGCTGGAGTGCAGTGGTGCCATCTCTGCTCACTGCAAGCTCCGCCTCCCAGGTTCAAGTGATTCTCCTGCCGCAGCCTCCCTAGTAGCTGAGATTACAGGCACTTGCCACCAACCCAGATAATTTTTGTATTTTTGGTAGAGATGGGGTTTCACCATGTAGGCAAGGCTGGTCTTGAACTCCTGAGCGTAAGTGATCCACCCACCTCCGCCTCCCAAAGTGCTGGGATTACAGGCGTGAGCCACCACGTCCGGCCTCTTGTAACATTTTTACAGTCTATTTTGTCTCATATTGATATAGCCATTCCAGCTTGCTATGGTTGCTGTTTTCACGGTATGTCTTTTTCCCATCTTTTTACTTTCAGCCTGTTTGTATCTTTGAATCTAAAGTGTGTTTCCTGTAGACAGCATATAGTTTGTTTTTTAACCAAGCCTGACATCTCTGCCTTCTAATTGGATTGTTTAATCTGTTCACATTTAAGGATTTTGTTATATGGTTGGATCTGTGTCTGTCATTCATGTTTTCTATGTCTCATGTCTTTCTTTGTTCTCTCCTACCTTATTTACTACATTCTTTTGCATTCAGTAAATATTTTCCAGTGTCACATTTTGGTTACTTTAATGATTCTTTAACTATATTTTTCAGTTCTTTTCTTTGTGGTT
Source organism: Homo sapiens (assembly GCF_000001405.40). NCBI lineage: Eukaryota > Metazoa > Chordata > Mammalia > Primates > Hominidae > Homo > Homo sapiens. Next base: position 177,819,761 of record NC_000005.10, read on the forward strand.
CCTCAAGAGAGGGGATGAGAAATGCTGGCAGCCCATGCCTCCCAGTGTGATATGGTGAGCTTGAGTGGCAGCTGAGCAAGGAGGGAACCACCTACTCTTAACCCGACCTACCTGGAGCAGAGCCTCCATCACTCTGAGCTGGGGGAAGGAGGAGAAGGGAGTGGGTTGTAGCTCAATATCACAGAGACTCATGGTTCTTTCTGAATTTTTGTAGATTTTCTAGAATAAATATTTCTTCATTTGCTGTATGCCCTTAGGACAATTTCCAGACACTTTATTTATTTATTTATTTATTTATTTATTTATTTAGAGACAAAGCCTCACTTTGTCACCAGGCTGGAGTGTACTGGCACGATCTCGGCTCAGTGCAGCCTCGAACTTCTGGGCTCAAGGAATCCTCCCACCTCAGCCACCTGAGTAGCTAGGACTGCGGGTGCATGCCACCTTGCCTGGCTAATTTTTAAAAATTAGGTGCATGCCACTGTGCCCAGCTAATTTTTGTATTTTTAGTAGAGACAGGGTTTCACCATCTTGGCCAGGCTGGTCTCGAGCTCCTGACCTCGTGATCCGCCCGCCTCGGCCTCCCAAAGTGCTGAGATTACAGGCGTGAGCTACCGCACCCAGCCTGCACCCAGCCAATTTTAACCTTTTAAAGAGCTGGTGAGAGCTGTGGCTCTTGCCTTTTAATTTTAAGTTCTGCTGATACAGACAAGACTTGACTCTTTTTAGAGGCAGGTCTTCAAAGGTTGCGTCGTCGTCCCCCAGCTCCCTGCCGCAGTACACTCTGCTTCGATTCTAAGTCGGGGAGGAGGAGGTTCACCCAGATTGGATCACAGCTTTACTTTGCATTGCTTACAAAATGGATGTCCCCGCAAGCTGACAGAAGCTGTTGTGTGCATGTGTGCACGTGTGTGTGTGTGAATGTACACAACAATTTAAACAGATAGTGGCAGACTATATTTAAAGCCTACAGACTGGCTGTTCATTAAGGAGAAGATGGGAGCAGACACTCACTGGGTTCCCAGGGGAAGCTGACTTTGATGTTGCCCAGAAGCTGGGCTGAGTCTGTGAGGAATAACCAGAGACAGGATTTACCAGGAGAGGCTGTTTTCTGGACGATGTTGAAATATGTGATGCCATTGACTTTGAAACCCGCAGATCATTCTCTTTGTCTTAAGAAAAGTTCTTTCAACATCTTCAAAACAATCTGTCCAGTGGTGGGGGCTGGGGAGAGCGTTCGCAGCATGGCCACTGCGTGCAATCCCCGACCATCCCTGGAGGACCGATTCTCGCTCGGAACCCTTGTTCCTCCTCCTCCCGGCCCCTGTCCTGGTGTTGGTTCCTTTTCTGTGGTGTCCACACATTTCCTTTGCGTTCTGGTTCTGCGTGGGAAGAACCCTGCAGCTTGGGAGCTTTCCATCCATCTCTATTTTTTTTGGTTGGTGACTCTTGGCGGCTCTCTGTGGGGACATTGGTGCTCTCCAAGAAGGTACTTCTTGAATCAGTGACCGACTTCTTCCCCTATAGGTTAATGTCACCAGTTTTAAAACTTCCTACAAATGGAATCATATAGTCTGTGCTTTATTTGCATCTGGCATCTTTCATGAAATTATATCACTCATGAGATTCATGTGTGCTGCCCTGCGTAGCAGTAGTTCCATTGTCATTGCTGTGGAGTATTGCACTGCACACACAGACAATTTGTTTCTCCAGTTACCATTGATGGATATTTACATTGTTTTGAAGTTATTGTGAGTAAGGCTGCTGTGAACATTAGTGTACAAGTCTTGTAGTGGACATGGATTTCATCTCCTGTGGACAAATACCGAAGACAGAATTGATGGTTGTTAGTTAGGTATATTGGTCTGCCTGTGTGGCCATAGCAGAATGCCATAGACTAGGTAACTTAACAGAAATTTCTCACAGTTCTGGTCTGGGCAGTCCAAGGTCAAGGTGCTGGCAAGGTGGATTTCATTCTGAGGCCTCTTCTCTTGGTTTGTGCCTACAAGTTGTCTCCCTATGTGTGTACCTGTGATTACTTCTTTGTGTAGGTGCATGGTGTAGTGAATTCCTACAATTTTATGTTGCCATGGAATCCATTTTTGTTGTTGTTGTTTTTTGAGACAGAATCTCACTCTGTCACCTACACTGGAAGTCAGTGGCGTGATCTTGGCACACTACAACCTCTGCCTCCCGAGTTCAAGCGATTCTGCCTCAGCCTCCCGAGTAGCTGGGATTACAAGCATGCACCACCACGCGTGGCTAATTTTTACATTTTTAGTAGAGACAGGGTTTCACCATGTTGGCCAGGCTGGTGTCGAACTCCTGACCTCAAGTGATCCATCCACCTTAGCCTCCCAAAGTGCTGGGATTACAGTCATGAGCCACCATGCCCGGCCCCCGTTTTGAATTTAAGTTGGACTTTCTCATACCAGAAGCATGGCATAATTACCCTTAACACCATTTCCAGTTCTTTAACTCCTTCCAGTTCCTCAAAGTGGTCAACTCAGATATCTGCCATGTACAGCCACCTCCCAGGCACCACCTCCCTGGAGGGGAGCTGGATACAACGTACTTGACTCACCCTCTGACCCCTCACCCTGCGTGGTCTGCCCTTGACTCACCCTCTGACCCCTCACCCTACGTGGTCTGCCCAGATACACCACAGTGCCCACTTCCCAGTCACAGCATGATCACCTGGAGCTCGTGCCTGCTTGCTCTAAACAATCAATTAGAGCTTCCTATGGGAAACTTGCTGGGGTCACACCCTGGACCCCAATAAAGGCTTTAGTCCTAGAGGTCCTCTCTCTTTCAGTCCCCACCTGCTGGCTAAACGTGGGTATCCTGAATGGCTCCCCACTTCCTGCTGGCCCTGCGAGGCATGGTGCCCTCCTCTCTCTGGGATCTGTGAGTAATCAACTACTCCTGCTATTTCATGTGTTTTATTGCACACACTGTGTCTCACCTGACTGACACACCCAAACCCAACCCTCCTCATCAGGGCTGCCCTAGAGAGTGGCTGTCTTGGTAGGAATAAATTGAACACAGGTCAGACAACAGCTACAAGGGCATCGTCCTCTATATACAAGCTTCCTGTGAAAGGGACATCTGTCACAGGTTGAGCACTTGGGCATGAGGCCACCTGCCAGGATCAAGAAGGATCCTGTGAAAGGTAAACTGTAAACATTCCTTTTATGAGCAACATGCTTGGTGCCCTGTGAGGGCAGGGTTATTGTTTGTAGCCACTCTCCAGAAAGAGATGCCTCAAGACCACATTAGAAAGAAATTACAACACAGGAAGAGAGAGGGCAAGTTCTCTGGAGTCTCTTTTTATAAGGATGCTAATCCCATTGCAAGGGCCCCATCTTCATGACCTCCTTTAACCCTAATTATCTCCCAAAAGCCCTGTCTCCAAAACCATCACAGTGGAAGTTGGGGCTTCAAGATATGAACTTAGGAGGGGACACAAACATTCTGTCCATAGCAGTAGGTGATGTTTAACTCTATTCCAAACTGCTATAGTTTTCCAAGGTGGTTGTATCACTGTACACCCCCAAGAGCAGTGTATAAGAGTTCTGACCGCTCATATACTCACCAGCACTTGCTAGTGGCATCTTTTTCATTTTAGCCTGACTATATAGTGGTATCTCATTGTAGTTTTAATTTGCATTTCCCGGAAGACAGATGACGTTGAGCACCTTTTCATGTGTTTACGGGCCATTTGTATATATTCCTTTGCAAAATGTCTGCTCAAGTCTCTTGCAAATTAACATCTCAGTCTTAGAAGTCTCTGTGAAACATGCTTATTTGGTAGGAAAGGATACAAGCAGGTCTGAAGACAGTCGAGAATTGCAGTGATGCTGGATGTCCCCAAGTAGACACAGCAATTTCTTATTCTCCCAGCTGTAAATTAAATTTCATTAAACCTCTAATTGCCGTATAAACTTAAACTGTCCCTTAGCCGCTTGTTCAAGTTAACTCAACGTAGCCTCTCTTAACTTTCTCCTGGCAAATTTACTTTTCCCAAATGAGGGTTCTGCTGGTGGGAAAGGCCCCTGAAAGGCCCAGCTGAATTTTATCAAACTCAGTTCAGTTATTTCATGTTGGTTAAGAACTTTCATCTCAAGTAATTTACCGGAGGAGAGGCTCTGCATTCTGCTGATATGTTTCTCAATGTTTAGCTGTGGACCTGAGCTGGGGCACAGCCTTGTGCCTTCAGATGGTCCCAGTTGGGAGCAAATTGCTCTACCACCCGTAAGACCTCAGTGTGTCACGTTCCGCTTCATCCCACGGTTCCGATTCTGCAATCATCTTTTACACTTTTCTTATATGACATTTAACAGAAATTGTCTAATAATATAACAAATAAGGACCTGAACCTGTAATCATATTACAGGTTCAGCATATCATTATACCCATGCCAGTTAGTAACACTAATTGAAATCCAAATCTAATCTTCTTGAAGAAGACTAAAGCTATTAGGTTTGAGCAACACGTTTGTAATCGAGCCAGTTCTAACAAGTGGTCCACACTTACTCTATTCTCATTCACGTTATTATTGACATTATCTTAATACTTTCCATTTCTTGGTTTGGCAATACATCAGTCTGAGAAATATGACTTAGTGGTGCAAATAACACGGACTTATGCTGGTCTTAGTCACCTCCAGTGAAGAATCCTATGGGTGGCAACATTTCAATCTTCGCTGCCTGTTTGAGACGATATGATTCTTTTTTCTTCTGAGACGGAGTCTCGCTCTGTTGCCCAGGCTGGAGTGCAGTGGTGCCATCTCGGCTCACTGCAACCTCTGCCTCCTGGGTTCAAGCAATTCTCCTGCCTCAGCCTCCCTAGTAGCTGGGACTATAGGTGCGTGCCACCATGCCCAGCTAATTTTTTGTATTTTTAGTAGAGATGGGGTTTCACCGTTTTAGCCAGGATGGTCTCAACCTCCTGACCCCATGATCTGCCCACCGTGGCCTCCCAAAGTGCTGGGATTACAGGTGTGAGCCACCACGCCCAGCCCAATATAATATATTTTAAGCAGGACAAATTCATAAGAGTCTTAAGAGCTCCTTTCATTAACAAACACCAAGTAGCAATAGCTTGTTTAGCAAAGACCAAGTAGCAGCAAATTGTGTTATGTTAATGTCTTGCTACCACAGAATATTCTCTGCAAATATTTCAAGTTAACCTTTAAAGTTTTCCCCTGCAGCTGAATGCCTAAAGCAGCACATTCACAAAGCGCATGATTCTGTGTTGGAGGAACAGAGCCAGGGTGTTCCCAAGGCTTCCAGACACCAGGCAGCTATGACCCACACAGAAGGACAAATCTGAGCAACAATCTTTAAGTTGAGGTAAACGTTTTCTGTCCCAAGAAGGAGAGGTTAATAAATATGGTTAATAAACATACCCATGGGTCTTAACATGAAGAGCTTAGATGATGGATTAGAGCTTCAAAGATTAGATAGGTGTAACTTTTGGGTGATCATCCTCCTGACCAAGTGTTCAGAAATATCTTCTGGCTCAGCAGCCACAGCTTCACCTATTACATTGCCTCACACTATCACATTGCTTCAATGATGTTTGGATTAAATGCAGGGAGCACAGCATGTGAGATTGTCTGTGTCAGACATTGTCCATCAGTGAGAGTAGTCTTTTAAGAAGCACATACAGGCTGGGCTTGTGGATCACACCTGTAATCCCAGCACTTTGGGGGGCTGAAGAGGGAGGATCACTTGAGCCTAGGAGCTCGGGACCAGCCTGGGCAACATAGTGAGAACCTGTCTCTTAAAAAAACAAAAAACAAAAAAAAACCACACACACCCCCCTAAAAATTAGCTGGATGTGGTGGGGGTGGTGTGTGTCTGTAGTCCCAGCTATGCAGGAGGCTGAGGTGGGAGGATTGCTTGAGTCCAGCCGTTGGAGGCTGCAGTGAGCCATGATTGTGCCACTATACTCCAGCCTGGGTGATGGAGAGAGACCCTGATTCCAAAAAAGGAAAATCTAAATTAAAAAACAAACAAAAAAAAGCAGCTAAGCGCAGTGTCTTACACCGGTAATCCCAGCACTTTGGGAGGCCGAGGTGGGTGGATCACCTGAGGTCAGAAGTTTGAGACCAGCCTGGTCGACATGGTGAAACCCTGCCTACACTAAAAATACAAAAATTAGCCAGGTGTGGTGGCACACACCTGTAATGCCAGCTACTCGGGAGGCTGAGGCAGGAGAATCGCTTGAACCTAGTAGGCGGAGGTTGCAGTGAGCCAAGATCCCTCCACTGTGCTCCAGCCTAGGTGACAGGGTGAGACTCTGTCTCAAGAACAAAAACAAAAAAAGCACGCACAGGTATTCAGCAGCTGTTTCTTCTGATGTGTCAAGTGACAGCTCAGGTAAGAAGAACTCACGCTGGCTTTGAAGCCCTAAGCCCTACCAGACCCACTATCTTATAGTAACCTATGAATATAGTGAGTGTGGTTTTCAGTGTTCCTGCAAGGGGCTTGCCAAGTTCAGATACAGTTTACCAACCAGGAGTCAGGTTTGTCATAAGCAGTGTTGCCTAGTAGTGAAACTGATGAGTGTTTCTAGCAGGTTACCAAGGCAATCAGAACTATAAATAAGTTGCTTTAGGAACATAGTTGACGTGCTTTCTTGGTAGGTAGGGGAACTGCGGTAGTAAGCTAACCCAAGGTCAAATTGTTTTACAGAGATGGATAAAGGATTTTGTTAACTCATTTCCTATCCCTATCATCTATCCCCTTGATCTTTGGTTAATTTTTTTTTAATTAAACTTTGATTTTTGAGATAATTGTTGGTTCACATGCTGGTATAATAAATAATCAAAGACATCCTATGTATGCTTCACCCAGCTTCTGCAATGGCAACATCTTGCAAAACTATAGTGTAATAACACACTGCTTATTTTTTTAAATATAGAAAAGAATATAAGTTAATATACTCATGATCACCAGGATTTGAATTATAAAATGGGCCATTAACATCCCACTTATTCCTTAAATAATTAGGTCGTTGTGGCCAGGTGCAGTGCCTCAGGTCTGTAATCCCAGCACTTTGGGAGGCCGAGGCGGGAGGATTACTTGAGGCCAGGAGTTAGAGACCAGCCTGGCTAACATGGTAAAACCCTGTCTCTACTAAAAATACAAAAATTAGCCAGGCATGGTGATGTGCACCTGTAATCCCAGCTACTCAGTAGGCTGAGGCAGGAGAATCACTTGAACCTGGGAGGCGGAGGTTGCAGTGAGCCGAGATTGCGCCACTGTACTCCGTACTCTAGCCTGCCTGGGCAACAGAGCGAGAGTCCACCTCAAAAATTTAAAAAGAATTAAAAAAAAAATTAGCCAGGTGTGGTGGCGCATGCGTGTAGTCCCAGCTACTCGCGAGGCTGAGGCAGGAGAATCACTTGAGCTCAAAGGCAGAGGTTGCAGTGAGCTGAGATCACATCACTCATTCCAGTCTGGGTGACAGAGGGGGACTCTGTTTCAAAAGAAAAAAAAGAAAGGTCATTGTTTGGGTCAAAATAATTTCATAGTATCCATAGTATTTTTGTAAGCAGTGTTATCTAATAGTATGACAGTGCTTAACATGCAAAGTGTAGTATTAATTGACAGAAATAACATATCAAACCAGAGTATAGTATCACTTGTTTTCTAAAAATAAATGCTATTGTGTACACTTGAGGATTACAACATATTATGGGATACATATAGCTAGTACAGCAGTTACTGTAATGAAGCTGATTAACATATCTATCATCTCACGTAGTTACTTTTTTGTGACGAGCAGCTAGAATCTATCGAACACAAATCCCTAGTACATTACAATCGTATTAACCTTAGCCCTCATGTTGTACATTAGATGTCTAGACTCGTTCATCCCACATATCTGCTATTTTGTGTCCTTTGACTCACATCTCCCCATTTCCTCGATCACTTTCATACTTCAGCAAGTGTTTCTTTTAGGTATCTCAAAATTAACATGTTTTTAAAATAGGATATTTTGTCTTATCTCCCAAATCAGTTTTACCCATATTTAAAAAAATAGATTGTATTTTTTAGAGCTGTTTTTAGGTTTACAGGAAAATGGAGCCAGAAGTACAGAGAGTTCTCATAGCCCCTTGTCCCACACACTCACAGCCTACCTGTTAACATCCTGCAAGATTAGTACATTTGAGTGGCCAGGTGCTGTGACTAACGCCTGTAATCCCAGCACTCTGGGATGCTGAAGGCGGGAGGCTCACTTGAGCCTAGGAATTGGAAACCAGCCTGGGCAAAATGGCGAGACCGCATGTGCTTGTAGTCCCAGGTACTCAGGAGGCTGCAGTGGGAGGATTGCTTGAGCCTGGGAGATCAAAGCTTCGAGAGCAGTGATCAAATCACTGTACTGCAGGCTGGGTGACAGAGCAAGACCCAGGAAAAATAAAAAGAGAGAGGGAGAAAAGAAATAAAGAGAAAGAAAGAGAAGGAAAGGGAAGGAAAAGAAAGAAAGAAAAAGAGAAAGGAAGGAAGGAAAAAGAGAAAGAAAAAGAAGGAGAAAAGAGGGAGGAAGGATAGGGAAGGAAGGAAGGGAGGAAGAAAAAGAAATAAAGAGGTACATTTGTTGCAACTGAATAACCAACACTGACATGTCAGTATCACCCAAAGTCCTGTTGACATTAGGACAGGACTTGGTGTTGGCTTACTTTTTTTTGTTTGTTTTTGTTTTTGTTTTTCTGAGACAGAGTCTCGCTCTGTCACCAGGCTGGAGTGCAGGGGCACGATCTCGGCTCACTGCAAGCTCTGCTTCCCAGGTTCAAGCGATTCTCCTGCTTCGGCCTCCCTAGTAGCTGGGACTGCAGGCACGCGCCACCACATCCAGATAATTTTTGTATTTTTTTAGCAGAAACAGGGTTTCACCATGTTGGCTGGGATGGTCTCGATCTCCTGACCTTGTGATGCGCCTGCCTCGGCCTCCCAAAGTGCTAGAATAATTACAGGCGTGAGCCACCACGCCCGCTGTTGGCTTACTTTTAAAAAAAAATCTCAGTTAATGACAACTCTGTCCTTTCAGCTACTCGGGTCAGAAATTTGAGATTCTCTTTGGTCTCACTCTTTTCTCACACTCCATGTTGATCCAGTAATAAAGTAGGATGTTTCCAGATCTGGAAGCACAACTCTCCCCAGTCCGAAAAGAACGAAGTTATGTTCACATCTCGCTGGTTCATATTGTTAAAATACCCAGTCAATATTTTTATAGTCTCTCAAAAGCCTATTTTAATTACTACTTCAGGAAAGCTTTTCTTTTTTTAGTTTGCATCAGCACCATTTTTCCTTACATGGCAGCACAGATCATTGGTTATATTCCAGCCAACTTCGCCAGACTTCTTGCTGGGCTGTTCAGGTTACCGCCATCCACAGAAGCTCAGGCACCTTTGCCACGTTCCCACCTGTGGTGCCAGGGTCACATCACACTGAGCAGCTGTTTGAGTCAGGCCATTCTGCCGTCCACCCAGCACTGTGTGCAGCTGGCAGACATCTGCTCTTTCTCTCTTGCATGCCCTGCATGGAGAGTTCTTGGGTGCTTCTCCTAGTGGATTGGAGGTTAGAGAGGACCCGGCCATTTCATATATAGCACACCACACAATGGTGTCCTAGGCCTCCTGCCCTCCTTCCTCTTCGTCCGCATGCCTCGTCCTTTGGGCTTGCACATTGCAGGGTGGGAATGATGGGGGTGAGATGTAGTTGCCAGGTGCCACTCTCCGAGGCTTTCACATGGGGATGAGCCCAAGCGTGACCAGAACCACCTTGTGGTTGCCCCCCATCCTTTTCTTTTTTTTTTTTTTTTTTGAAATGGAGTCTTGCTCTGTCACCCAAGTTGGAGTACAGTGGTGTGATCTTGTCTCACTGCAACCTTCACCTCCCAAGCTCAAGCAATTCTCCCACCTCAGCCTCCCGGGTAACTGGGATTACAGGCGCCCACCACAACGCCTGGCTAATTTTTATATTTTTAGTAGAGACGGGGTTTCGCCATGTTGGCCAGGCTGGTCTCCAACTCCTGACCTCAGGTGATCCACCCGCCTCGGCCTCCCAAAGTGCTGGGACTAGCACCTTGCCCAGCCCATGATATAGCCTTTACACTGTACTAATGAGGCAATAATTCTTTGTCCTCTTATCATCAAAGATTGCATGATTTCCACCTCTGGTCACTATCTGATCTCACCCACTAATCGGATGAACTGTGGGATCAGTTTGGAGCTCAGCTTGCTACTCCATGGATCCCAGAATATAATATCAAAATAATATCAATTCCAGGCTGGGTGCGGTGGCTCACTCCTGTAATCCCAGCACTTTGGGAGGCCAAGGAGGGTGGATTACCTAAGGTCAGGAGTTCAAGACCAGCCTGCCCAGCATGGTGAAACCCCATCTCTACTAAAAAAAATTACAGAAATTAGCTGGGCTTGGTGGCACACACCTGTAATCCCAGCTACCTGGGAGGCTGATGCAGAAGAATTACTTGAACCTGGAAGGTGGAGGTTGCAGTGAGCTGAGATCACGCCACTGCACTCCAGCCTGGGCGACAGCATGAGACTCCATCTCAAAAAAAAAAAAAAAAAAACCAAATCAATGCCAAATATTTCTACAAATGTGGGTTAGTTGACAGCAAAGGGTTTCAGCCTGTCTAAAGAGAGTCAGGAGTTTGCTGATGCTGGAGGCCCCAATTAGAGCTGTGGCTTTCTGTTTCCCTAGCCATCAATTCAACTTCATTGAACCTCATGACAGTCTATGAACTTAAACTGCCTTTTGGGCAGATTTACTTATAGTTAACTTCCCTTAGCTTTTTCTTGACAAATTTATTTGTCTTTTCTGGGCATCACAGATGAGAAGCACTCTGAAATGCCTGTTTGGATTGTATACATTAGCAGGTGCATGTGCACTGTTATTGAATATTTCATGTTGTTTATGAACTTTTACTAGCAATCATTCACTGTGAGCAGGCGCTATGTATGTCCAGTGTTGGCATAGCTTCATGTCCTTCAGGGACCTGAATCACAGCTAGTCTGCCCTGACCCAAATCACAAGGAGTCCTTTGCCCATTTTTATTACACTGTTTGTCTTAAATATTTGTGTGAATTGTTTATATATTCTAGGTAAAAATCCTCCCAGAATACATTATATAAACAATTTTTATATTATATATATTTTATATATATATATATATATATATATATATATATATATATATATATACTCGTATTCATTCTCCTGGTCTGTGGCTTGCTTTTGCCTTTTCATTTTCTTAAGGATATCTTTTTTTTTTTTTTTTTTAATTTCCAGACGAAGTCTCACTCTTGTCCCCCAGGACAAGAGTGCAATGGCGCGATCTCGGCTCACTGCAACCCTGCAACCTCTGCCTCCCGGGTTCAAGCAATTCTCCTGCCTCGGCCTCCTGAGTAGCTGGAATTAGAGGCACCTGCCACCAGGCCCGGCTAATTTCTGTATTTTAAGTAGAGACAGGGTTTCACCATGTTGGCCAGGCTGGTCTTGAACTCCTGACCTCAGGTGATCCACCCATCTTGGCCTCCCAAAGTGCTGGGATTACAGGTGTGAGCCACCATGCCAGGCCAAGGATATCTTTTGGTGAAAAGAAAATTTTAATTTTGATAGAGTCCAGTTTATCACTTTGTTCTTTGATAGTTAGAAGTTATGTGTCCTATTTAGGAAACCTTTACACCCACTAAGGTTGTAAAGATTTTCTCCTTTGTTTTCTTCTAGAACCTTTACAGTTTCGCCCCTTACATGTGATCCATTTTGAGGTAATGTTCGTGTATGACATGAGGTAGGGATTGGAGTTTACTTTTTCCGCATGTGGAAATCCAGTTGTTCCAGCACCATTTGTTGCAATGACTGCCCTTTTCCTCAATTAATTGCATTGAGGTCTTTGTCAAAAATAAATTATCTAGGCCGGGCGTGGTGGCTCATGCCTGTAATCCCAGCACTTTGGGAGGCCAAGGCCGGTGGATGACTTGAGGTCAGGAGTTTGAGACCAGCATGGACAACATGGTGAAACCCCATCTCCTCTAAAATATATGTGTGTGTGTGTGTATATATATACACACACACACACACACACAAATTAGCTGGGCGTGATGGCGTGTGCCTGTAGTTTCAGCTACTTGGGAGGTCGAGGCAGGAGAATCACTTGAAGCCAGGAGGCAGAGGTTGCAGTGAGCTGAGATCACGGTATTGCACTCCAGCTTGGGCAACAAAGTGAGACTCTGTCTCAAAAAAATAAAAATTAATTGGACGTCCACTTCTGGCTAGAATGGAGTAACAGTGAACTTATCTTCTGGCTGAAAATGGACAAAATGTATGAGTTGATGGTTTTAGGACACTGGGCATCAAACGGTAAAGGACAGTAATTCCTGAGAAAAAGGAAAGAAACGAAGTGAGCCCTCCACTTGCATCAACTGATGAGAGTCCCTTAAATGCCTGGCTCCAAAAAGGGGACAAAAAGGGGCTTTATCTCTTTAAGGGTTTGGAGAAGCTACTGTAGAGAAGTGGGATGAAACCAAGGCTGATGTCTGCTTTGGTCCCTCAGAATACTATTCAGATCACCCAATACGTATTATACAATCCCCAGATTTGCAAGACAAGGTCCCGGCTTTCTGATCTGGCAGCAGCCTGACCCTCCAGTGGGGCTGAGAAATGGTGGGAGGAGGGGTGGTAGCTGATTATGCATGCTGCTCTCGTACCAAAGCGCAGTAGCCTCCCCCTTCATGAAGCACTCCACTGGTTGTTCTAAGGGTCCAATCAGGTTCCAGGATTCCAAAATCATTGATTCCATTTGCTCTTTCAAGGTCAGTCATTGCTTTGGTGGGGGTGCTGACCCTGGAGCTCCCTACTCTGCCCTTTTGCATGATATCCCTCTCTCCATTCTGGCTTGCCCTGTAGAACTACTTCCTCAAGCCTACCACCAACGTGCTGCTCCATTGTCTATCACCGCTGGGCCTTCCTCCTCAGTCAGGCAAACTGGAAGGAACATGTAAGTGACAGGCTTCTGTGTACTACCCTCAGTATTTTTGTAGTTTTTAAATAAATGAAACTGCTTTTTTTCTGATTATAAGAGAAAAAACACTCCCTTAAAATATTTGGATGCAAAAACTTTATATGAAAATTTCCCTTCGCTAAGAGATAGTATCATCCTTAAGATTTTGTATATAACTATTAACATTTTTCTGTGCATGATTATGTGTACAGAGTCGTTTATTTTGTCCTTTTACTTGCTTTTTTAAAAACCTGAGTGTATCTTTGACATCTTTCCATGTTAGTAAGTATAGATTGTCATGATTTTTAAGAACAAAATAATAATTTATTTAACACTTCCAAAGCAATGGACATCTAAATCTTTTCTTTTTATTATTATCAATATCGTATAATGAACGTCGTAACAACTTGTTATGTTTCTTTAATGATAAATTCCTAAAATATGATTTGTTGAGCCGGGTTTTTTTGGCTTTGGTAAAAATTGCTACATTTTCTTTCAGAAAGTTTGTCCCAGTTTACTCTCCCATTGAAAGTGGAGAGGTCCCTTATCCCCCTGGCAGGACATGCAGCAGGAGTATGGCTGCTCCAGCCCGTAGCAGGAGCATGCAGACGGGCAGATGCAGAGGCTGTGGGGAGTGCTTTTGGGCTCCGGCCCCATGGCGGTGCCTAGGGTGGGGTGTCTACGACCCCTGAAGCCCACGTGGACATGTGTTACAGTGTGTTCTTTCAGCTTTGCCATCTGCAGACGGCTTGTGTTAATCAGCTCAATAAACCCTCCGCCTTTTTGCAAGGGCAGGGGGCCAGTGTGACAGCCTGAGTTCTTGCCCAGTGTACCAGAAAAATCAGATCACACGTGGGCTGAAAGGATGAGTGCACGGTTTTACTGTGTGGCGGAGGTGGCTCTCAGTGCGATGGATGGGGAGCTGGAAGTGGGGATGGAATGAGAAGGTGGTCTTCCCCTAGAGTCAGCCCGACCATCCGCGGCTGAACTCCCCTCAGTGTCTAGACGTCCTCTTCTCCCTTTCTCTGCTGTGTCATTCCACCATTGCTGGTCTGCTGGTGTTTGCTGGTCTGTTCCTCTGCTCCTCTTGACATTCAGCCACTTCTGTCTGTACCCCCTAAGGTCTTGGGTTTATATGGGCACAGGATGGGGGGCATGGAGGGCCAAAAGGCAACTTTTTGGGCATGAAAACAGAAATGCCTGTCCTCACTTAGGGCTGCAGGTCTTCAGGCTGGAGGGTGGGGCCTTTGCCAGGGAGCCACCCTCTTCTACCCAGTATTTCCCTGTCTCCTGTTTGTATCACCATCAATCACAGTTTGATTAACCTTTGATTCACACCTTAAGTGCCTGCTTCACCACTCCAAGCATACTGGATATTCTCAATTATAAAACTATCACATCGGGGCTGGGTGAGGTGGCTCACGCCTGTAATCCCAGCACTTTGGGAGGCCGAGGTGGGCAGATCACTTGAAGTCAGGAGTTCGAGACCAGCCTGGCTAACATGGTGAAACTCTGTCTCTACCAAAAATACAAAAACAAACAAACAATCACATCGGGATAAACATGTTCCCGGGGTTTGTTTTAATCAGGTATGGTAAGACACACAGACACAGAAATGACTGCCTTGAAGGAAGAAGTTTTTATATCACAGATTGCTAGAAACAGGAGGCACAGCATGCCACGGTGGGCCACATAGGAAGTACTAGCGTTGGTCAGGAGGTAGAGGAAGCAAGAAGAAAACATGAGGAAGATCCTTTGTTATGGTTTCTGCAGTTAGGAATGGGAGAGGCAGGCTACACAGGTTTAGGATTGGCTGGTTTGAGTAATTTCAGTGAGCTCTGGGCATAGGATCTGTACCTAGTGGCCTGATACCTGGACCTGGGATGATTATGGAATGGGAGTGTTGGCCCAGAGTGAGGAGCTGGGAGTGGTCTGGGTTCTGGAATGATGAGCTCGCATGTCAAAGGCACCACCCTGGTTGAGTAGTTTGCTATCTCTAGGAATTACCTAACTCTCAGAGGCACAGTCCCTCTCCCATTATAGAGGTCCTCAATGTCAAAACATCAGACTAAGAAAGCATAGCAATTAAAAAGTCTCTTGCAGCTGATTTTTTACAAATTGTATTGATTTAGCCCTTGATATTGGACCTAGAAATATATGTTCCACAAAGCCTTGTGAAATATTTGCTATTTTACTATATGCTTCATTGTCTCCTTTATTACATTTGGGGTATTTTGGTGCTTTATTTTAAGAGCAGTTTATATCAATAGTACAATGTGCAAAATTTTAACAGTATAAGTTTTCCCCCATATTAAGTTCCCGCAAAGGGGCTGGGCACGGTGGCTCATGCCTATAATCCCAGCACTTTGGGAGGCCAAGGCAGGCAGATTATCTGAGATCAGGAGTTTGCAACCAGCCTGGCCAACATGGTGAAACCTGGTCTCTACTAAAAGCGCAAAAATTAGCCGGGCATGGTGGCGTGCACCTGTAATCCCAGCTACTTGGGAGGCTGAGGCAGGAGAATCACTTGAACCCATGAGGCAGAGGTTGCGGTGAGCCAAGATCGTGCCACTGCACTCCAGCCTGGGCAACAAGAGTGAAACTCTGTCACAAACAAACAAAACACAGAGGTTCCCACAGAGGAAAAACAAATCTCAAATAAAATCTACTCCTCCTTAAAAAAATTATAGTCTCACAAAAAGTTAATGCCACTAAATCTGCCCATCACTTTTTCTCACACTGCTTGTCTCCACCAGAAGGAACCTCACTCTGATGTTTGGGAGAACTGCGGGATTTGTCTTCAGATTCTGTAGCCTCAGGAGTGTGGAAACCCGTCTGGTTTGTCTCCTAATACACAATCAGTCCAGAGGGAATCCATGTACAAAACTCCTAAAATAACAATATGACCTCACATCTGTGAATGTGGCAAAATAAGTCAGGTATTGCATTTCTTCCCTTTGTTTGTCCATTATCCACTTCCTTCTCATCCTTTCTAAGATAATCTATATTTTATTGGAAGTGGCGATGTATCTAACCCTAACAAACAAGTGAACAAACAACAGCAACATATGACAACAACCTTTCCCAGCCTGCGTGGCAGGCAGGTGGCCATTGAGATGTGAAAAGAAGATGCTGAGTGGTGATTCTGGGAAATCCCTGGAAAGTGATAAACTTCTTTTGCCCTTCCTCTCCTCATCCTTCCACTGAGACAGGACAAGATGGTGGGATCCCCAGCAGCCATTTTGGAAACACAGGGATGAAAGCCTCACTCTATGGCTGGGGGAGGAGGGATCTAGAAGGAGCCACGTTTCTGGCGTTGGACTTCCCATTCTGGAATTGTCATTATGGAAGACAAAAATAAACCCGTCTTGTTTAAATAGATGTAATTGGGATTTTCTGTTACCTGCAGCTGATTTAGATTCCCAGAAATAGGCATATCTCTTCTAATAATAGTAAAATTCTCTTCTAATTCTTCTCCCACTTTCAGTTTTTTTTTCCCGTCTCTAAAAATGGTCTAAATTGGTGTGTGGAAGGAAGTGGTGTTGAGGTGACGTCCAGAGTCGGGTTCTGTTTCCTCCTATCTTGAACCTCCCCAGACATCGGCCCAGCACTCACCAGCACCATGATGAGTGTGAGCCCCTACTGAAGAGCCTTCTCACGGCCTCCTGGACCTCCTTGTTCATCAGACTGTAGATGAAGGGGTTTAGCATAGAGGTCACCACAGTGTACATGATGGTTGCTATGGTGTCCTGGGCTGAGAAGGAGTCTGGGGGTCATATGCAGATCCCCAGGACAGTTCCATAGAACAGGGTGACCAGAGACAGGTGGGAGCTACATATGGAACATGCCTTGCGCCTTCTTGTAGGAGATGGAATCCGGAGGATGGCTGCAGCAATGCGGATGTAGGAGACCAAGATGAGTGCACAGGGAGCCAGGAACAGGACCACAGCCCCCAGGAACACATGCTGATTGTCATGTATGTGAGCAGGCAATCTTCATGAGCAGGTAGGCGTCACGGTAGAAGTGTGAAATCTGGGCGGAGGAGCAGAAGGCCAGTCTGCTCATGATGACCGTGTGGACCAGGGAGATGAGGCTGGAGCCTGCTCACGCTAGCACGGCCAGCCCCTGACAGAGCCGGGGGTGATGATGGAGCAGTACTGCAGGGCGCTGCAGATGGCCACATAGTGGTCCAGTGCCATGATGGCCAGCAGAAAGGTGTCCACGTTGGCAAAGGAGATGAGGAAGTACATCTGAGTCAGGCACTGGGGATAAGAGATCGTCCATAGGCCGGGCGAGGTGGCTCACACCTGTAATCCCAGCACTTTGGGAGGCCGAGGCGGGCAGATCATGAGGTCAGGAGATGGAGACCATCCTGGCTAACACGGTGAAACCCCGTCTCTACTAAAAATACAAAAAAAAAAAAAAAGTTAGCCAGGCACAGTGGCAGGCACCTGTAGTCCCAGCTACTCAGGAGGCTGTGGCAGGAGAATGGCGTGAACCCGGGAGGCGGAGCTTGCAGTGAGCTGAGATTGGGCCACTGCACTCCAGCCTGGGTGACAGAGCAAGACAGTCTCAAAAAAAAAAAAAAGAGATCATCCCTGTTCCTGCCACATGGTTGACCAGGAGCTTGGGGATCAGGTTGGTGATGAAGCAGATGTTGACAAAGGAGAGATGGGTGAAGAAGTACATGGGGGTGTGCAGGCGAAGGTTGGAGCCGATGCCCAGGATGATGGGTGTGTTTCCAGCCTCAGTGACTAAGTGCATACACAGGAAGAGCCAGAAGAGGGCCTGCTGCTTCCCTGAGTCACTGGTGATGCCGAGCAAGAGGAACTCGCCAACTCCTGTCTCATTCTCTTTACCCCTGGACATCCCACTACAGCTCAGGGAGGTAGCAGGCTACACAGACCACAGGGGAAAATCACTTAGCAGAGTCTGGGCTTGCTTTATGTTCAGAATCAAATTGCAGAATCAGAGGGGGAGGTTGCAGTGAGCCGAGATCTCACCACTGCACTCCAGCCTGCTGACAGAGCAAGACTCCGTCTAAAATAAATAAATAAATAAATAAATAAATAAATAAATAAATAAGAAAGTAAGGGTTGTTTCAGGAAGTTTATTTTTCAGGTTCATTGCAGCCCTAATTTTCAGTCTCTGGTGATAAGGGACTATTTTCTTGCCATGTCACTGGGAGGAATCTTTATGGCTGGCTGCATGCAGGGAGAGACAGGTCAGCTAGCCCTTTCTGAAGCTACAATTTCTCCAATGTTTTTCATTCAAAATAATCAATATACCGATTAAGCATATTTGGGGATAGCACGTCCTTGACTCCATTAACTACCATTATGGTTTTGGGGGAAGAACCCCAGAGAGGTGAAATATTTTTATCATACCAGAGGTATGTGATTATCAGCATGACTTATCACTGATAATGTTAACCTTCCTCACTTGTTTAGGGTAATGTTTCCCAGGCTTTTCCACCATAAAGTTTGTTTTTTCCCATATTCTATACTTTGTTTGTTGGAAGCAAGTCACTAAGTCCAGCCCATCCTCAAGTGGGAGGAGAGGATTAAGCTTCACCTTCTGGTGGGTGGGTTTGGGGGTGGGAAAAGTGTTCACAGATATTAGTTGGAATTCTTCTGTAAGGAAAATTTGTTTCTTCTCCCACACTGATTTATTTAATCATCTGTTTTCATCAGTATGGACTCGCTTATATTTATTTCATACTTTGGGTTATAATCCGATGTGAAGGTCTTCAAAAAGTTCATGGAAAGTATGTATTAATATTATGAAAAAAACTATACACGGATTTCAAGCATTTTTTCACATCAAAATAAACTCATACTAACATGTTATAACATGTCTGAACAGAATCTAGTTTGAGGCACTAGGAAGGATAAGACGTCAGTTTGAAAAGAGCCCCTTTCAGAAAAACATAAATTCTGCTAAATTTGAAACAGGGACAAACATTAAATTAGTGGAACAGAAACATCAAATTGAAGCTTGGGTGGAAGAATGGTGAAATCATTGATGCTTTTTGAAACGTTTATGAGGACAATGCCCCAAAGAAATTAGCAGTTTACAAATGGATACATTGTTTTAAGAAGGGAGGAGATGAGATGATGTTTAAAATGAAGCTTGCAGTGGCAGACTATCTGCATCAATTTGCAAGAAAAAAATTCATCTTGGTTTGGCCTTAATAGAAGAGGACTGGCAATTAACAGCAAAAGCAATAGCCAGCACCATAGATATCTCAGCTGTTTCAGCTTACACAATTCTGACTGAAAAAGTTAAGAAAACTTTCTACTCGATGAGTGCCAAAACCATTGCACCCTGATCAGCTGCAGACAAGAGCAGAGATTTCCATGGAAATTTTAGACAAGTGGGATGAAGATCCTGAAGCATTTCTTCGAAGACATGTAACCGGAGATGGAACGTGGCTTCACCAGTACAATCCTGAAGACAAAGCACAATCAAAGCAATGGCCACCAAGCGGCGGAAGGGGTCTAGTCACAGCAAAAGCAGACCAGTCAAGAGCAAAGATCATGGCAACTGGTTTTTGGAGATACTCAAGGCATTTTGCTTGTTGACTTTCTGGAGGGCCAATGAACAATAATGTGCTTATTATGAGAGTGTTTTCAGAAAGTTGGCCAAAGCTTTAGCAGAAAGCTAAAAAAAAAAAAAAAAAAAAAAGCTTTAGCTCAGGAAAGCTTAACCATAGAGTCCTTCTCCACCACGACAATGCTCCTGCTCATTCCTCTCATCAAACAAGGGCAATTTTGCAAGTTTCGCTCTTGTGCAATGGCGCACTCTTGGCTCACCACAACCTCCGACTCCCAGGTTCAAGTAATTCTTCTGCCTCAGCCTCCTGAGTAGCTGGGATTACAGACATGTGCCACCATGCTCGGCTAATTTTGTATTTTTGGTAGAGTCAGGGTTTCTCCATGTTAGTCAGGCTAGTCTTGAACTCCCGACCTCAGGTCATCCATCCACCTCAGCCTCCCAAAGTGCTGGGATCACAGGCATGAGCCACTGCACCTGGCCTTGCAAATGTTTCTATTGGAAATCATTAGGCATTCACCTTACAGTTCTCATTTGGCTCC
Organism: Homo sapiens; assembly: GCF_000001405.40. Classification (NCBI taxonomy): domain Eukaryota; kingdom Metazoa; phylum Chordata; class Mammalia; order Primates; family Hominidae; genus Homo; species Homo sapiens. Next base: position 177,839,893 of record NC_000005.10, read on the forward strand.
TTCTATTTTTTTTGTTTTCTAATCTTACAAAAATCTTTAAAGGGCACCCATTTTTTCTTCCATTAATAACGTAAAAAATGCTACGTTATCACAGTTGAATTCCCAGGACCCTCAGTTCTTTAAGAATGGACTAAATGGCTGGCATCATCACTTATAAAAGTGTCTTGAACTTGATGGAGCGTCTGTTAAGAAATAAAGTTTGTATTTTTAATTTTTACCTTTCTTACTTTTTTTTTTTTTGAGACGGAGTTTTGCTCTTGTTGTCCAGGCTGGAGTGCAATGGTGCAATCTTGGCTCACTGCAACCTCTGCCTCCTAGGTTTAAGCCACTCTCCTGCCTCAGCCTCTCAAGTAGCTGGGATTACAGGCACGTGCCACCACGCCTGGCTAATTCTGTATTTTTAGTACAGAGGGGGTTTCTCCATGTTGATCAGGCTGGTCTCGAGCTCTTGACCTCAGGTATTCCGCCCACCTCTGCCTCCCAAAGTGCTGGGATTACAGGCGTGAGCCACTGTGCCCAGCCCTAATTTTTATCTTTCAATTGCGTTTTTTCCAAGAACTTTTTAAAGCCCCTCATACTACTCTGTTTATTGCTTGAATTGTTCCAGTTTTGACCATTGGTAGCTTTTTTACATTGGCTGCTGTATCTCTTTGACATGTACCCATCCTCTGTTCTGGTTTCTGTTTCTTCATTGTTGGTTTTTTTCTTTTTTTTCTTTGAGACAGAGTCTCACTCTGTCTCCCAGGCTGGAGTGCAGTGGTGCAATCTTGGCTCACTGCAACCTCCGCCTCCCAGGTTCAAGTGATTCTCCTGCCTCAGCCTCTCAAGTAACTGGGATTACAGGCACCCATCACCACGCCCAGCTAATTTTTGTATTTTTAGTAGAGATGGGGTTTCGCCATGTTGGCCACGCTGGTCTTGAACTCCTGACCTCAGGTGATCTGCTCGCCTCGGCCTCCCAGAGTGCTGGGATTACAGGCATGAGCCACTGCACCTGGCCTGTTGGTTTTTTTAGTGCTTTCTTACTTTCTTACACTACGAGATGCCCCAGGCTCATCTTACGCTTTCCCTGCCTCAGGCCTAGAATCAGCCTTTTATTCAAGGAGCCCAAACCAGTAATTTTTGACCAGCAACACAATAAACATGAAGTTCAGAGCAGCTAAAAGATGACCTGTTTGAAAATAGGCTCAGCATACAAAAATTAGCTAGGCATGGTGGCGGGCACCTGTAACTCCAGCTACTTGGAAGGCTGAGGCACAAGAACTGCTGGAACCTGGGAGATGGAGGTTGCAGTGAGCTGAGATTGTGCCACTGCACTCCAGTCTGGCTAATTAGTAAAAAAAAATTTTTTTAAGATGGAGTCTTACTATGTTGCCCAGGCTGGTCTCACACTCTTGGGCTCAAGCAGTCCTTCAACCTGGGCCTCCCAAAGTGCTGGGATTACAGACATGAGATACTGTACCCAGCCTCATTTTTTTTTGCATATGGATATCCAGTTGTTTTAGCACAATTTGTTGAAAAGATTGCTTTCTCCACTGAATTACCTTTGCACCTTTCTCAAAATTGATTGTTTGCTTCAATAGCAGTTAGCACACCTAGTACCCAGATCTTGGTTTTTAAAACCATTCTTCAGTAAAACAATCTAGAACTCCTTGAAGTGGCTGATTTTAGGACTGAGGCAGGAAATACACAAGATGAGCCTGGAACATCTTGTAGCACCAGAAAGTAAGGAAGTACTGAAGAAGGAAAACCGTATTTGATGGGGTTACATGACAGGAGCCGACTGAAAGAGCTCCCAATGGTCAAAGCTGGAACAACTGGAGCAGCAGAATAAAGAGAGTAGTATTGGATTATAACCCAGAGTATACAGTAAATATCCATGAGTTCATACTCATGGATATTTTGGTAAAAATTTCTTATGCAGTTGGAAAGAATGTGTATTCTGTTGTGTTGGGGTGGAGTATTCTATAAATGTCAGGTTAAGTTGGTTGATAATGCTGTTCAAGTATACTATATCCTACTCATTATCTGGAAGACAATGAAATCTCTGGAAGATTGGGAGAGGGAGATTGAAATCTTGTTATAATTATAAATGTGTCTATTCCTCTGTGCTGTTCTATTAGATTTTTCTTCATATATTTTGAAGCTCTGTTATTAGATGTGTTGAAGTCAGATAAAATAAAGAGATGAATCTCTAAATTTAAAATGTTTTATTTTGGAAGCAAGAATTGCAGTTGGGGCATACACACAGACCAGGTGGGTTTTGGTATGTCTGAAGAACAAAGAGAAGGTTAGAGGTGTTATGAAAAAGAGAAATGTTACATATTGTTTTGCAAGAAAGTACATTGTCACTGGTAAGGTTCTGGGGAGCTGGCAAGTTCTGATTGGTGAGTGATGGCGGTGGGTCAAACTAGCTTTAGAGTTGTACCAGGTTATTTTAACAGCTAATTAGATAAACTGGCTTCAGTTTACAACAGCTAGGCTTGCAGAGAATTCATTCTTGGAGCAATGTTATGTGCCCTGATTGCTTTTATTTCTCTGGCCTCTTGACTCTGTTTTAGTTGGGTATGACACGAATAACCCAATTTGTATGATCAACTTTCACAGATGTGTAAATATTTGGGATTGTTACATTCTCTTTATTAATTGACCCCTTTATCATCATCAGATGACCTTATTTATCCCTGGTAATATTTCTTGCTCTAAAGTTTACATTGTCTGATATTACAATAGCCACTCTTTTTGATGAGTGTTAGCGTGGTATATCTTTTTCCACTGTTTGATTTTGATAGGTATATTTGAAGTGCATTTATTGTAGGGAATATAAAATTGGGTCTTACTTTTTTAAATCAAATCTTAAAATCAATCTCTGCTTTTGTTTATTTATTTTGAGATGGAGTCTCATTCTGTTGTCCAGGCTGGAGTGCAATGGTGCGATCTTGGCTCACTGCAACCGCTGCCTCCCTGGTTCAAGCAATTCTGTTGCCTCAGCCTCCTGAGTAGCTGAGATTGCAGGCACCCACCACCACGCCCGGCTAATTTTTGTATTTTTTTTTTAGTAGAGATGGGGTTTCATCATGTTGGCCAGGCTGGTCTCGAACTCCTGACCTCAGGTGATCCGCCCTCCTCTGCCTCCCAAAGTGCTGGGATTACAGGCGTGAGCCACTAAGCCCAGCCCAATCTCTGTTTTTTAATTAGGATATTCAGACTATTTACATTTGATGTGATTATTCATATAGTTAGGATTGAGTCTACAAACCCTGCAACGTGTTGTCTATTGGCTCCATCTGTTAGTTGTTCTATGTTTTCTCTTGGTCTAACTTCCTTTGGATTAATTGAATATTTTTAATGTTTTCATTTGATCTCCTTTGTTGACTTATTAGCTATAACTATTTCTCTTGTTCTTTTAGTGGTTGCCTTAGGGTTTATTATATACTTCTTCAGCTTATCGGTCTATCTGCAAGTGATGTTATACCATCTCCTGTATAAGAACCTTACTGTGTTATATTTCTATTTCTTCTCTCTCAGACTTTAAGCTGTATCATCTTATTCATGTTACAAACACTATATGGCATTATTATTATTTTTGTTTACATTCATCTGTCTTTTGCAGTTATTATTATTTTTTTTTTTGACGTGGAGTTTCACTCTTGTCACCCAAGCTAGAGTGCAATGGTGTGATCTCGGCTCACTGCAACCTCCGCCTCCCAGATTCAAGTGACTCTCCTGTCTCAGCCTCCTGAGTAGCTGGGATTACAGACGTGCCACCGCGCCCAGCTAATTTTTTTTTTTTTTCAGTAGAGACGGGGTTTCACTATGTTGGCCAGGCTGGTCTCAATCTCCTGACGTCAGGTGATCCACCTGCCTTGGCCTCCCAAAGTGCTGGGATTATAGGCATGAGCCACCGCGCCCAGCCTCTTTTACAGATTTTTAAATAAGAAAACAGTCATATATTCATCTGTGCAGTTATCGATTCTGGTGTTCTTCATTCCTTTGTATAGATGTGCATTTTCATATAGGGTCATTTTTCTTCTACCTGAAAGACTTCCTTTAACATTTCTTTTAGTGCGGGTCTGCTGGTAGTAAATTCTTTCAGCATTTCTTTTTCTGACAGTCTGTTTCACTTTGGATTTGTTTTATACTGGATTTAGAATTCTACACTGACAGTTTCTTTTTCTTTCAGTACTTTAAAGCTATTGCCCTCCTGTATTATCACTTGCATGGTTTCTGATGACCAATCTGTTGTCATCCGTGTCCTTGTTTCTCTATATGCAGTGCCTTTTTTCTCTCTGGTTACTTGTGTTTTCTCACTGATTTTGCACTCTCTTATTATTAGGTGGCTTCTTTTAGTAAGGAAACTTCATTACTTGTGCTTGGGTTTCTTGATCTTCCTATATCTGTGAATTTGTAAGTTTCTATTTTTCTTTTTTTTTGAGATGGAGTCTTGCTCTGGCCCAGGCTGGAGTGCAGTGGTGCGATCTTGGCTCACCACAACCTCCACCTCCCGGGTTCAAGTGATTCTCCTGCCTCAGCCTCCTGAGTAGCTGGGACTACAGGCGCGTGCCACCATGCCTGGCTAATTTTTGTATTTTTAGTAGAGATGGGGTTTCACTATGTTGGCCAGGCTGGTCTTGAACTCCTGACCTCATGATCCGCCCGCCTTGGCCTCCCAAAGTGCTGGGATTACAGGCATGTGCCACCGCGCCCAGCTGAATTTGTATGTTTCATAAAAATCTGAACAATTACTATTTTTCTGTACCCCTTGCTCCCTCTTCCCATTTGCACATATATTAGGCTGTCTGATGCTGTCACACAGCTCACTGATAACTGTTTTTGAAAATTATTTTGTTCTCTGTTTTATTTTGGATAATATATATCGCTGTCTTCAAGTTCACTGATCTTTCCTTCTGCAATGTCTAATTTGCCATTCATCTCATCCACTGTTTTTTCACCTTAGTGATTATATTTTTCATCTTTAGAAGTATGATTTGGGTCTTTACAAAATATCATCCATTGGAGTTAGAGCTGAAAAAAAGAAAAAATAAAAATATCATCTCTGTCTCTTCTTAACTTTTTGAACATATGGACTACAGTTATAGTAACTGTTTTTGATGTTCTTGTCTGCTAATTCTAACATCTGTGCCATTTCTGGATCAGTTTAAGGTGACTGATTTCCCCCTCATTGTGGGTCTTTTCTTGTCGTTTTGTGTGCTGTTAGTTCAACCGGATGCTAGATACTGTGGATTTTACCTTGTGTTGCTGGGTATTTTATTACTCCTATAAATATTCTTTAGCTTTGTTCTGGGATGTAGTTAAGCTGCTTAGAAGAAGCTTGATCCTTTCAGGTCTGGCTGTCAAGATTTGTTAGGTCAGAACAGAGCAACATTTTTTTTCCTAGGGCTAATTATTCCCTATCACTGAGGCAAGAGCTTTTTGCTTCTACCACCAGTGTCCCTGAATTATTAGGTTTCTAGTCCGGCTGTTAGAAACAGGTGCCCTTCTCAGCCCTCTGTGAACCCAGGTGCTGTTCTCACTAGTCCTTTCCGATCATTCCTTCTCTGATCTCTGGTAGTTTCCTGACAACGCTTGCACTGATCAGTACTCAAACAGACCCTCCACAGAAGTCTGGAGTTTTCTCCTTTCCTGCTTTCTGTTGCCTGTTACTCTGTCTTGTGAACACCCACTGCCTTGGCCTCCTCAGTTCAGGGAGCCTGCCCTCCTCCTCGTTTCCTCTCCCTATGCCTAGGCACTTGCTTGAGGTGGTGTGCCGGGCAGTCACAGGGCTGCCACAGGGATCATTAGCTTTTATTGCCTCATGCCCACTGGCCTGAGAGCTGTTGTTTCCTGTATTTTTTCAGGATTTTGGTTGTGCCAAGTGGGAGGGTAAATCCGTTTCCTTTTACTCCATCTGCTAGAAGCAGAAGTGTCCACTGACTTTTAATATTTTTCTTTCAAAACCCACATTAGAAGAAACCCTTCCTCTGTAACAACAACCAACAGCTTGACAAAGTGTGTTCCCATTGTTCTGTCACTCCTCTGCTTTTCAAAGCAAGCCTGCAAGGTGGATGCTATATCCCCATTTTACAGATAAGGGGACAGAGCCTCAGAGAGGTTAAGAGACTTTTCCCAGGTCACACAGACCGCCATTGTAGTGGGGATATGGGCTTGATCCTGGCTCCGCCTGTACAGACTGTGTGACCTTGGTAGTTCCCGGCTGTACAGATTGTACAGACTGTGTGACCTGCTGTAGTTCCCAGCAGGGAAAACAGAGCCATATGGTGTAAGGGTTGGTATTACTGTTTTCATTTTTAATTTTTATTTTATTTTATTTTTTGGTGGGCTTTGAGAGTGATATTTCCAGGGTGACAGCGTCACTGAGCTGGGGCACCTGGGGAGATTCAGGGATCTCTGTGATTGGTCTTCTGACTGCGCCTTATTCAGAAGATAAGGCAATTTTTTTTTTTTTTGAAATGGGGGTCTCACATTGTTGCCCAGGCTGGAATGCAGTGGTGCCATCTTGGCTCACTGCCTCCTAGGTTCAAATGATTCTCATGCCTCAGCCTCCTAAGTAGCTGGGATCACAGGCGCGTGCCACCACGCCCAGCTAATTTTTTGTATATTTGGTAGAGCTGGGTTTTTGCCATGTTGGCCAGGCTGGTCTTGAACTCCTGACCTCAAGTGATCCACCCACCTTGGCCTCCCAAAGTGCTGGGATTATAGGCGTGAACCACCGCGCCTGGTCAGAGAGTGTGTCTTCTTATCTAATGCATCTGCCAGAGAATCAGGCTTCTTGCCAGAGCTGTGGAGTTGGGAGTCTGAAACCCCTGAAATCTCAGGGATAGTGGGGAGTTACTGGCACCCAGTGGCAGAGAGGACGGGGTGAGGGGAGGGAGGAGCACCAGAAGGTTAGAGGGTAGCCTGGTGGAAGCTGTGGGCAGAGCACACTGAGGTGGGGCTACACCAGCTCTCCACCCCTCTCCACCCATCTCCTGGTTTGTGATTATCCCTGCTTCTCCCACTTCTGGGTGAAAAAGGTGGGGAAATAAATTCATGAAGCCGTGAGTAGGTGAGGTGTTAGGGAGACAGCTTGCCAGGGTGGGCAGCACAGATGACTGGTGGGTGGGGAGGGAGGTGGTGGGAGGTGAATGTGCAGATCCTCAGATCTCTGAGAAACAAGGTGGAGGGGGCTAACGTGGTGTGCAGAGTGGCAGGTGGGGGCACTGGTGGCTGATACCTGAGGCACAGGTGTTTCCTGGGAAGAAGGGGATGTGGTCTTTTCCTGGCCATGGGGGAGGCTTTGAAAGGTTCTTGGAGAATTTCTTTTATAGTGAGATTATTTTCAGACTGAGTTTTTTAAAGTGTGGAATGGCACAGAATAGTGCCATTTATTAAGTGCCTACTGTATGCTCAGAACCCATTTCACATGCATCAGCCTGTTTCATTCTCACATAAGGTAGGTACTATTAATTCCATTTCACAGGTGCAGAATTTGAGGCTCAGGGCCATGGGGATGGCTTACCGAAGCACCCTGTGCTTTGTCTTGTGTGTGTGGTGGGTTTTTTTTGTTGTTGTTGTTTGTTTGTTTGTTTTGAGACGGGCTCAGTCTGTCACCTAGGCTGGAGTGTAGTGGCACAATCATAGCTTATAGCTCACTGCAGCCTCAACCTCCCCAACTCAAGCGATCCTCCTGCCTCAGCCTCCCGAAGTGCTAGGATTACAGATGTCAGCCACCAGCCTGCTTTGTTGTTGTTATTGTTGTTTTGAGACAGGGTCTTGCTCTTTGGCCCATGCTGGAGTGCAGAGGTGCAGTCTTGGCTCAGTGCAGTCTCCTGGGCTGACGCCATCCTCCCACCTCAGCCTCCTGAGTAGCTGGGATTACAGGCGTGCACCAACCATGCCCAGCTAACTTTTTGCATTTTTTGTAGAGGTGGAGTTTCACCATGTTGCCCAGCTGGTCAGGTGATCTGCCCACCTCTGCCTCCAAAAGGGCTGGGATTACAGTCATGAGCTTCCTTCTTTCAACGCAAGATGTTCATAGGGGGCTGGAGTCTGTTTAGACAGAATTCATGGGAGGGCCTTGACCTCAGCTTAGCAGATTTGGAGAGGGATGAGAGAAGAGAATACAATATTTAAGACTGTGCCAAATACAGTATTAGGTTCCTATATACATTCTGCATAGTAGATACTATTGAGTGATCTGGTATCGTTTTGACTACTCCAATAGTAACTCCTCTTCCTGTGGGAAGCTAGAGTTTCTGTTAGTATTTGTATGTTAACCGTCCCAATTTTTTTTTTTTCAGCAGGGTCTCGCGTGTCACCCAGACTGGAGTGCAGTATGTGATCTCATCTCACTGCAGCCTCCGCCTCCTGGGTTCAAGCAATTCTCCTGCGTCAGGCTCCAGAGTAGCTGGAATCACAGGTGCGCACCACCAAGCTTGGCTAATTTTTGTATTTTTAGTAGAGATGGGGTTTTGCCATGTTGGCCAGGCTAGTCTTGAGCTCCTGACCTCAGGTGACCCATCTGCCTTGACCTCCCAAAGTGCTGGGATTACAGGCGTGAGCCACCGCGCCTGGCCCCATTGTCCCAATTTTTAAATGTTGGCATCTAATTGAAAAAAAAAAACATGTGGACCAAACAGTGCAGTTCTCAACTGCAGTTCTTCACATGTAGTTCTTGACTGCAGGTGAAAGGAGTTTTTGGCAGCAGAGCTCCTGCAGTGCCACGCTCTGTGCTAGGGTGGCTGGGGACAAAGGCAAGTCAGCCAGGACTCCTTGGGAAGCTTTGATCCACAGGTGAGAGCAGCCTTCTACAGGGGAAAGGAGCACTGTCATAGGATTTGGTGTAATGGGATTTGACCCACGTTATTCTTGAGCTCCTTAGGCATGAATCTGCAGAACGCTTTTTGTAGCTGAAATGGAAAAAGTAAAACACCTTGCAGCAGGCTTTTTGTTCTCCTAAGGGCTTTTGAGTTTCCTAAGGACTTTCCCTATCTCATTTGAGTTACTCCATTAAATGAGCAATAAACCCATTTTCCTGGGGGTCGAGGGGTAGCAGGCAACTAAGGCTCAAGGGAAATAAGTGTCTGAGAGTCACACAGGCTGGGATGAGGGAGAGGCCAGCCTGGGACCCAGCCCTCCTGAGTCTGTTTCCCAGCTTGCTACAAATAGGGAGGGGGAAGTGCGGACAGCTCAGAGAGATGAGACGACTCATCCAAAGACACACATCCAGGAAGCTCAAGAAAGGTACCAAAGCGTGTCCATGCACTCCTTGAGGTAATCTGAAAAATGTTTTATATTTGCACTTTTGTCTGTTTCTCAGAGTAAAAGTCCTAAAACTTTGGACAGATTCTCAAAGGGGTCTGTGATTCTCAAAGAGTTAAGAGCCACTAATTTAAGCTGAGGCCTTTCTGACTCCAAAGCCTGTATTCGGGGGCACCCTCCACCAGATCCTAGTTAAGAGGATATTCTTTAAAATTAAAACCTATATAAGATCTGGGTCTGCATCCTGAAGAAAGCACACTCATGGTAAATGGTCTGGCTATCTATTGCTATGTAGCAAATCATACTGAAATTTAGGGGCTTATAACAACCACAATCAACGTATGGTCTTATGATTCCCCTGTGAGGCATTTTGGAAGGGCTTGGCTGGGTGGATTTCTCTTATGCTTTCATTCAGACAGTGGCTACACCTGGAACAGTGGAGGGGCAGGCCAGAGGGGAGCTGGCTGAGCCTGTCTGCCTCTTCATGTCAGCTCAGGGCCTCGCTGTGTGGTTGGTCTGCATGAGTAGTGAAGGCTTCTTCATAGTGTGACTGCTCAAGGCCACTGGATCATCCACAAGCTGTTCTGGGCCACAGTAGGAGTGTCCAGGCAGCAGGGTGGAAGCTGCATCACCTTTTCCGATCACTGCCACTGTAGTCACAAGGTCTCTCAGGATTCATAGGGTGGGAACAGAGACCCCCACCCATCAATAGGAAACATGTCCAAGACACATTGTTAAGAAGAACATAAGAGCTGAGCATGGTAGTAATCCCAGAACTTTGGGAGGCTGAGGTGGGAGGATCACTTGAGTCCAGGAGTTTGAGACCAGCCTGGCCAACAGAGAGAGACCTCATCTCTACAAAAAATGAAAAAATTAGCCAGGTGTGGTGGTGCACGCCTGTGGTCCCAGCTATGTGGGAGGTTGAGGTGGGAGGACTACTTGAGCCTGAGAGGATGAGGCTGTAGTGAGCCATGATTGTGCCACTGCACTCCAGCCTGGGCAACAGAGCAAGACTGTTAAGAAAAAATATATAAGAACGTAAGGGATGGGAGGTGACATGACTGTGTTTGGAAAGCACAGCATGCCACAGCGTGAGAGTGCAAGTGGCAGCAAGGAGTCCAGTGTGGCTTGAGTGGAGTGGGAGGAGTGGAAGGGGGTGAGCTCAGAGAGGCCGTATGCAGCTCTGTCAAGTTTGGGCTAGTAAACCAAGGTGTGGGCTTTTCATTTCATTCTAAATGAGATGGGAAGCTAATGAAAGCCTTTAAGAAGGGGTGTGATGTGATCTTATGTGTGTTTTAATAAACTTACTGGGGCTGCTGTGTCTGGAGAGAAGGATTGAAGGGGGCAAGAATGGAAGCAGGGAGACCAATAAGGAGTCTACTGCAGTCACGCTGGCCAGAGGTGATGGTGATGATGGAGGCTGTGGGATGGAGAGGAGTGGATGATTGCTGATATATTTTAGAGGGAGAATTATCAGTTTGCTGTTGGAATTGTTGGAGGATGGGAAGGTTGAGGGAAAGTCATCTGAAGAATGACAGTTTGCAGGACTGTGGCTTGAGTACCTAGGTTGATGGTGGTGCCATCAACCTGATGGGGTAATAGGTGTGTGTGTGTGTGTGTGTGTGTGTGTGTGTGTGTGAATTCAGATTTCAGTTTGGAATGTTAAGAGACTGGATTGCTGAGTAGGCCGTTGCATAGATGACAATGGGGGGAAGAGGTCTGAGCTGAAGATGCACAGTTTGGAATATCTTCCCCTAGTTTTGCCTGAAGGCTTTAAGTTGGACATATGCCTCTGATTTTCCTACAGTAGCAGATCTCTGGGCCGGTGGGAAGCTGACAGCAGATTGGACGGGGTGAGATCAAGGGAGACTCATTTTTGGGAGCTCGGTGGCTCCATGGTGGGATCTAAGTGGTCTAAGTGAGATTCCCGTCTCAATACTATTTCACTACTATTTCCCATTCCCACCAGCAAGATATGAGGTTTCCATTTCTCCACATAGTCACCAGTACTTGTTATTGTTTGTCTTTTTGATTATAGCCATACTTGTGGGTGTGAAGTGGTATCTCATTGTCTTTTTAAATTTGCATTTCCATAATAACTAATGATGTTGAGCATCTTTTCATGTACCTACTAACCATTTATATATCTTCTTTGGTAAAATGTCTATTCAAATATTGCACCCATTTTAAAATTATTGAGTTGCAAGAGTTCTTGATATATTTTGCATAAAAGTTCTTTGCCAGATACAAAATTTCCATATATTTTCTCCTAGTCTGTATCTTGTCTTTTCATTCACTTAACAATGTCTTTTTAAATTTTTAATGAGGCTGGGTGCAGCGGCTCCCTCCTGTAATCCCAGCACTTCGGGAGGCCTAGGTGGGCGGATCATTTTCAGTCAGGAGTTCAAGACCAGCCTGGCCAATATTGTGAAATCCCTTCTCTACTAAAAATACAAAAATTAGCTGGGCATGGTAGTGCACACCTGTAATCCCAGCTACTCAGGAGGCTGAGGCAGGAGAATCACTTGAGCCCAGGAAGTGGAGGTTGCAGTGAGCCAGGACTTGAGCCCAGGAGGTAGAGGTTGCAGTGAGCCGGGATTGTGCCACTGCACTCCAGCCTGGGTGACAGGGTGAGACTTTCGCTAAATAAATAAATAAATAAATAAATAAATAAATAAATAAATAAATTTTTAAGGAATCTCAGCTGTGTGTCAGGCTGAGAAAAAACTTTTAATGATGCTCAGTTTCTTATGCATTGTTCTTTGGTGTCATGACTAAATTGTATGTCATAAATATTTTCTCTTTTTTTTCTGAAATTCTATAATTTTGTTTTATACTTAGATCTATGATCCATTTTGAGTTAAATTTTTTATAAGATGTGAAATTTATACTGAAGAGCATTTTTGTTTAATTGTTTCAATAGCAGTTATTAAAAGCAATGTACTGAATTGCTTTTTTACTTTTTGTCAAAAAATAGCCATGTTTTTATGAACTTATTTCTGATCTTCATATTCTATTCCATTAATCTATTTTTCTATCCTTTCACTAATACCACAGTATCTTGATTACTGTAACTTTATAGTAAGCCTTAAAATCTGGTAGTATAATTCGTACGTGTTTGTTTCTCTCTTCAAAAATTCTTTTAGGTAGTCTAGGTCCTTTGCCTTTCTATGTCAATTATTTTAGCTACCTAGTTTCTTTTCCTCTCTGTACAAATTTTAGAGTTGGTTGGTCTGTAGCTACAAAATACTCTGCCAGGATTTTGATTGGAATTTGTTTTATAGTAGTGGTGGGAGTAGATGTCTTTACCTTATTCCCTGGTCTCAGGGGAAAAGCATTTGTCGTTCACCATTTAAGAATGTTAATCTGGGCTTGGCGTGGTGTCTCACACCTGTAATCCTAGCACTTTGGCACTTTGGGAGGCCGAGGAAGGTGGATCACTTGAGGCCAGGAGTTCGAGACCAGCTTGGCCAACATGGGGAAACCCCATTTCTACTATTAAAAAAAATACAAAAATTAGCTGGGCATGGTGGCACTTGCCTGTAATCCCAGCTACCTGGGAGGCTGAACCACAAGAATCACTTGAACCCGGGAGGTGGAGGTTGCAGTATGCCGAGATCACACCACTGCACTCCAGCCTGGGCAACAGAGCAACACTCTGTCTCAAAAAAAGAAAAAAAAAAAAAAAGATAAAAATGAATGCTAGTCTGGGCAACATGGCAAGACCCCATCTCTATCAAAAATGCAAAAATATTGGCCAGGCGTGGTGGTGCATGCCTGTGGTCCCAGCTACTCAAGGGGGCTAAGGTGGGAGGATTACTGGAGCCCAGGAAGTTGAGGCTGCAGTGAGCCGTGATCATGCCACTGCACTCCAGCCTGGATGATAGAGTGAGATGCTGTCTCGAAAAAAAAAAGTGTTAGCTACAGCTTTTTTTTTTTTTTTTTTTTTTTTTTTAGATAGGTATCCTTTATCAGTTGGGGATAAATTATTCACAGTTTGCCAAAAGTTTGTACCATATATGATGATGAATTTTGTCAAATGATTTTTCTGTATCACTTGATATGATCATATTTTTTCTTTAGATTGTTATATGGTGGATTATACTGATTAATTTTGAAATATTGAACCAGTCTTATAGGGATAAACTACTTGATCTTGCATTTTTACACATTGCTGGGTTTAGTTTGCTAGTATTCTCTTTTCTTTTCTTTTTGTTTTTTGAGATGGAGTTTCACTCTTGTTGCCCAGGCCTAGGAGTGCAATGGCACCATCTCGGTTCACTGCAACCTCCGCCTCCTGAGTTCAAGTGATTCTCCTGCCTCAGCCTCCTGAGTAGCTGGGATTACAGGCATGTGCCACCGTGCCGGGCCAAGTTTTTTTTTTTTTTTTTTTTTTTTGTATTTTTAGTAGAGATGGGGTTGCACCATTTTGGCCAGACTGGTCTTGAACTCCTGACCTCAGGTGATCCGCCCCCACCTCGGCCTCCGAAAGTGCTGGGATTTCAAGCATGAGCCACCGTGCCCGGCCCTGCTAGTATTTTCTTAAGGATGTTCACATCTTTGTTCATGAGGGATATTGATCTACGGTGGGTTTTTTAAACACTTTTATTATTGAGTTTTGATAGTTCTTTATATGTTCTATACACATCTTCTCTGTTAAATATGTGGTTTGCAAATATTTTCTAACAGTCTGTGGATTATGTTTTTATTCTCGTTTTTGTTATAATATTTGGCAAATAATAATTGTATATATTCATAGAGTACACAGTGATGCTTCGATACATATCATGTATAATGATCAGATCAGGGTAATTAGCATATCCCTCATCTTAAACATTTATCATATCTTTGTGTTGGGAACATTCAGTATACTTCTAGCTATTCAAAGCTATGTATTATTAACTATAGTCATCCTACAGTGGTATAGAACCCTGGAACTTATTCAGTCTACATATTCATTCTCTTAACAATATGTTTGGATGAGCAGAAGTAATTAATTTTGATGAATTCCAGCTTGTTAAATTTTCATAATTTTATGGATCACACTTTTGGTATCATATCTGTAAAATCTTTGCCAAACCCAAGGTCACAAAGATTTTCTCCTATTTTTTTCCAGGAACTATTTTTTTAAAAAGAGAATAGAAGTTTGTTTGTCTGCAGGTGAAGTAGCTCAATTTGTAAATGTTTTAAAACAAAACATGTCTGTTTTCTTCCTAAACATGTCTAGGAAAGGGCTATGGGTTTTCGGTTTTAATATATTAGCTTATATTATACTAAAAATCACAGATACTCAGCTATGTTTGACCTATAGAAACAGCAGCTTTTAAAATTGTAGGCAGTCAACCTAGTCACATATGTCTTTGGCTCAGTACAGAATCTATCTTTTTTTTTTTTTTTTGGTCTGGTAAAGTCCTATGAATTAGACAAGCCATCTTTAACTCACGCCTAATTAGGGAAACATCTTCCCCAGGGACATACAACAGGAGTCCACTTAGGGGTATGGACTGTAAAGCTCAAAGGTCACTTGGTGCGCGGATCTCCAAAGCAGAGGCCTCCACAGACATTTTACTTGAATTTCATATTTGAAATAACATTCAAGTAAGCACCATAATTAATGCAGTGTGAATCTTCAGATACGTTGCATGCTAAATATTAACATTTTGGAGATGGCTAGCACAGTTTCCTATACCTCTAACTAGGCTGGGTAGATGCTTGACACTAAAGTTTCTCCTCCTATCTCTGTGTGATTAAAGAGGATCCTGACATTGTAAAGCAAGCTTTTAAGTACTGCTAGCCTTTTAAGTACTGCTATTCTTTGCGACCTGGGATTTTCATAATATTTGGAACAACAACAACAAAAGATGAGACTAAGTTCAGTACTGAAGTTGAGACATGACTGCTTCTGTTTCTAGTTTCTTATCTAGTTTCTTATTCTTTTTGACCTGTAAAGCAACGTCATTATTCTCAATGAATGACCTGATAAGTAAGTGTGGTAGAGTAAGTATACAGTGCCATTTTCCTTTTCCAGCAGAGGAAGATTACATTTCCCAGACTACCTTGCATTTGAATGGAGGCCTGTGCCTGGATACTGAGGGCGCCTGGGATGTGGATGGAAGTGGTGTATGTTCTTTTGGAGAAATTCCAGGGCTTTATTTTCCCTAAAGCCTGGCTCTATGCTGGGTTTCCTCCATCTCCCTAGATTAATAAGTTTGGGTAATGATTTTTGGTCATTTTTTCCTTCAAACGGTTGCCAGAAGCAATACTAGAAGAGCAGGTCATTGGATACATGAAATAACATTAACATTCATAGGAGAACTTTTCAGCCATAGGCAAATCTCCAGCAGCCCGGAGAAACAAGACATTAGAAAGTCCAAAAACTCACAGTAGTGGCAAAATCAGTTTAGTGAAAAAAAAAACAAAAAACAAACAAACAAAAAAAACAGTAATAATACTGACAAAAAGAGTTGTCATTTAGAAACAGAATCCAGTTTTGTTTTTGTTTTTGAGACAGAGTCTCTCTCTGTCGCCAAGGCTGGCGATCGCGCAGTGGTGAGATCTCGGCTCACTGAAACCTCTGCCTCCCCAGGTTCATGCGATTCTCTTGCTTCAGCCTCCCAAGTAACCAGGACTACAGGAACAAACCACCATGCCTGGCTAATTTTTGTATTTTTAGTAGAGATGGGGTTTCATTGTATTGGCCAGGCTGGTCTCAAACTCCTGACCTCAGGTGATCCACCTGCCTCAGCCTCCCAAAGTGCTGGGATTACAGGTGTGAGCCACCGTGCCCGGCCAGTAGAAACAGAATCCGGGTTTTGAAAAGAAATCAGGACTGAGACAAGACAGATCCCAGTCCTGTAAGATTTGGATTATGAGAAAGGGAACTGGGGCAAAGTCTCACACTCAGGAGAGAGAAGCATCTTAGTCACTTCCACTGGTCTGCAAGGTGGGTGCTTGGAGATAAGAAATGTACCAAAAACTCAGTTATTAGAACAAAAGCTGCTTTAGTAGGCCCATTGATCTAGGTTAGTGGGCAATCTGAAGAGATGGGGATACAGCCAGGATGACCCATAGTGCCCCTAAAGGATTATTGGACTAAGGAAATTTCCAATTTCCAAAGTTTAGAAATCCACTCTCTTTATAACAGATATCTTCAGATGTACTTGGATGTAAAGGGTGAGGACAAAGATGCTGTTTGTTCCCATAGGCCTGCTTACAGAGTCTCCCCAGAGGGGGTTGAAGTGAAAGAAGCTCTTGCTCAAAAACCTGGTGGAGGAGGTACGAGATGCCAGCCCTCAGGGAAATGTGAAACATGCAGGTATGAGTGGTCCATGCTTAGGAATGTTAGAACAGAGGAGGCCAACCAGGGGTGCCAGCTAGAGATGAGCTCTCTGGAATGGTGTTCAGTCATGTGGAAATCACACCAGATTGGGACTTAAGGTGGAGTCTGGCAGTGGTAGGATAGAATACTTTAAAAGTGGAGGGTGCCAGGTGAATGAATCAGGGATCCAAGGGGTGGGTCACATTTGGTGAGAGCTTGATGTCACGAGACAGTGTAGGGTCAGGTGAGGCCATCACTTTTCTTTACTCTGTTGACACTAAAAGACAAGAATGAAAGGCTGGGAATCAGTTCTTACCATCATTTCTCTGGGCTACAGCAGTCGTTCATTATTCATGAATAATATGTCTTTTTCATTGAATTCATGGGTCTCTGTGTTCTTTTCTGTCATTCATTTAAAGTAGATAAAAATATTTTCTGTTGATTCTTTGAAAATTTCAAATAAAGTGCCTTTGATATGTGATCCTCAATGATCTTTCAGTCATTCTCTGCTTAATAAGGGTGCTGATTCTCAAAACTCGAGATGCAATTTGCTCCAGCAGGTAGGATTCTGGTCTCCAAGGTCAGAGTGAGTTTTTGGAATCTGCTGAGAGAGTTTTGCAGGATGAGAATTTCTTTCCAGATTAACCCTGACACAAAGGCTTGGCCCAAAGACCAAGACTCCATATGGGAAGGTAACTGAGAAGCAAGTATTGTGGGATTCTGTTCTGCTGCAAGTACCCTGAACTTTCTTAATTATCCAATCCAGAATCTCAGACACCAGAGATTTTGAGACAGAGTCCTCTCTCTATACAGCCTCTGGATTTGACTGTGGGCTTTGAAACAAAGCTCTAGTTGCCATTCTGACTCCTCCTCATTCTATCCTGTTCCCCTAGAAGGGTGATGTTCTGCTGTACCTTGTGCGTTCCCCTTTGAGGCATCTCTGTAAATGATTTAGTAAAGTGGGAAGAGGAACAGACAACAAGAATCAGTTCATTTTGGAGGCTAAGTCTAGGGATCACCTACCCAATATTGATAGAAGCAGATTCCTCTGGAGGGAGTGGAGAAACAGAGTGTAGAAAATTAAATAAATACAGGTTCCTCTTCAAAGGGACTTTCCTCCCAGTCTAATTAAGAATAGATAGTAACCTCTCTTAGAAGCAAAATTTACTCAGAGACCTGTGCTGATATTCTTAAATTCTGTTAGCCGTAATAAAGAAATCAATATACTCTGTTCTTAGCTCTTACATTTTAGCCTAGATATTTGCCCTGGCATGCCTGAACCAGTCCAAGCAAGCATTAGGTCACAGCCTACTCCTTTTCCTTATTTGGAAGTGTTTTTGCCTCTCTCAGCATTTCATAAGTTACTTCCTCTCTTCCTTTGTTCTTCTCTGCGTTTGCCTCTTTTGAGAAGTTCTAAGTTGCTAGCCATTCGGGTAGAGTACAGAATGTGAGGTCCTGTTCCAGCCAGTGGAAACTGGACACAGCAGAAGGGTGGACACTTCAGGTTATAAATGACCCTGTCTCCTTTGTTCGTGTGTGCTCTCATGGCGAGACTGCTAGCGAGCGGCACCCTTTCTGCAGAAAGTAAACTAGCCTTGCAGAGAGATACTTTGTCTCAGTGTTGATTTTTGTGATACCAAGCATCGGTTCCCAACACAGAGGATCCCCACATGACAAATGAGCTGGAAAGTAGAAAAATGTCCCATAAAGTCAAGCTTGAACTCACTCATGGGCTACTAGAGTTTCTCAGAAGAAAGAGAGATTTCTCCATCATCTGAACCACACACCTGCCTCAGGCACCTGGGCACTGAGAATGTTCATTAGCTGAGTTCCTGACTTGGATCACATAGCTATGGAACAGTCACTATGGTCTTTTGAGGTTCGTGGAGGGGACACAAAGAAGAAAGAGCCTGCACCTAAAAGCACCTCTCTTACCCTCCAGCCTAGCAGATCTCACCACCCATCATGGACCATCTGCACCCCTCCACTCTTCTCTGAGCCTTGCTATTTTCTAACTCCAACCTTTCAGCACATAATATATATTTTAGTGCAATTCTCTACTTATTCGTATAACCAGAGCTCGATTCAGCTTTAGCCCTTAAAAATTGTCAGCTTTGATCCTACTAATTTTATAGCTTTGAAAGTCTGGAGTTATTCCAGGAATTTTTGTTAATTCCTGGGGAATTATACTCTCATCCTGCTTTGTTTTCAACTCTGGCTTCTGTTTTTGCCTTGCGTAAAGCAGACATAGAGTTCAGCCACGGCTTTCAGGTTCTCCCCAAAACATCCACTTTTACAAGAAAGCTTTAGTGACCAATGTGGCCTCTGTTAAAGATACTTTAAGATTGGCAAAAAGGGAGAGAGGTCCCCATGGCAAGTATTTTTTTAAGAAAGTTTTAAAAATTTTGTGGCAAAATATACATAACAAAAATTTACCACCTGTGATACTGTGATTTATAATAAGAAATATATATTTTAGACTTTGTCCCCAGTTCCTGGCACAGAGCTCCTTAAACCCTGGTAATTTCCTGAGCAATAGAGGTGCTAGGAGAATCTTTTGTTGTAACAGTTGGTCTTTGGCATCAGTCTCTGACAGAGCTCTTAATCCCTTAAACATTCCTGGGTGATAGGGGTGTCTTTTGTTTTAATGAGGTGACTCTTGATGGGCTCCTATACAGAGGTTGGTCACCAGAAAGATTAGGGGATGATTAGAAGCTTGAAATTTTCATCCCCACCACCCATTCTCTGGGAAGCAGGGAGGGACTGGAGACTGTTAATAATGGATCGTGCCTATGTGATGAAGTGAGATAGAGGGCTAGCCTGATTAAGCCCACCAAATGTAACCTGCCTTGCTTGCTTTTCATCGCTGACTTCTGGTTGACCTGAAAACCTATATAGCTAAAAATCACATAGCCAAACAATATCTTAGTAAACTCCCACTAGCTCCTTACGGATAACGTTTCTAATATACATGTCACTATGGTAATGGCTGCTTAAAGTTGTTTCTCAGGAGCTAGGGGGAAGCTCTTGTCCAGTTTGAACCAGTTGAGACCACTGACCCTTCGGCTGGGCCTGCACAAGTGTGCGAGATGTCAAAGGGCCAAAAATTCCTCCCTCAGCTCATGCTAACACTGCCATTTTCTGAATATGTGTCCTCTAAACTGCCAAGAACCCTGGCTATGCTTGTGCAGACCACCGATTTCCTCATTTTTCCCACCTCCAGTCACCTTTCCCCATGCCTTAGACCACCCCACTTCTTTATCCCATGAATGTCCTCGAGCCCTGTATTCAGGGAGGTAGATTCCAGAGCTGTTCTCCCATCCCCTCGCTGGGCCGCCCTGCAAATAAAGTGTTTTCTCTATGGCAAAACTTGTCATTTCAGTGATTGGCTTACTGAACAAGGGGGAAGAGTAAGCCTGGTTCGGTATCCGAAGCCTCTATAAAAATCCCTGAATTAAAAGAGTTCAGAGAGCTTCCAGGTTGGTGAATGTATCCACATGCTGGGAGGGTGGTGCACCTCAACTCCATGGGGACAGACTCTTGTTCTCGGGACCCTTCCAGACCTTGCCCTATGTCTCTCTTCATATGGCTATTTATTCGTGTCCTTTATCACACATCGTTTATTATAAGATAAGCCCGTAAATGTGGGTAAGTGTTTTTCTGAATTCTATGAGCTGTCTTAGCAAATTATTGAACCTGAGGATGGGACTGTGGAAGCCCAGATTTTATAGCCAGCTGGTCAGAAGTACAGGTGACAATGTGGGACTTGTGATTGGCATCTGAAGTGGAGCAGTCTTGTGGGACTGTGTCCTTAACCCTTGGGGTTTGTGCTAACTCTTTAGTGTCAGAATTAAATTGAATGGTAGGTATCAGAGAATTGGTTCGTGTTGGAGAATTGATTGTTGGGGGGAACCCCCACCCCTATATATCTGCTGACAGAAATGAAGCATTAAGAGGAAAAACAGTTGATTTTTCCTTATTTACCATTTTAGCTGTTTTATTATGTGTACAGTTTAGTGGCATTAAGTACATTCTCACTGTTGAGAAACCATGGCCACTATTCTCTCTCAAACTTTTCATTTTGCAAAAAATAAAACTTTGTACCCATTAAACAATAACTCATCTATTCCTCCTTACCTGCAGGCCCTGGCAACTACCATTTTACTTTCTGACTCTATGAATTTGAAGAACTATATAGTATTCATCCTTTTGGTACTGCCTTATTTCACTTAACATAATGTCTTCAAGGTTCACTTAGCGTGACAGCCTTGAGGTTCATGTTGTAGCATGTGTCAGAATTTTCTTAAGGCTGAAGAATATTCCATTGTAGGTCTATGCCACATTTGGTTTATCTGTTCATCTCTTGAACTCTTGGGTTGCTTCCACCTTTTGGCTATGGACTTGGGTGTATGAATACCTTTTTGAGACCCTGCTTTTAATTCTTTTGGGTATATCTCCTTAAGTGAAATTGCTAGATCAATGGCTGGGCATGGTGGCTCACGCCTGTAATCCCAGCACTTTGGGAGGCTGAGGCAGGTGGATCACTTGAGGTTAGGAGTTCAAGACCAGCCTGGCCGACATGATGAAACCCCGTCTCTACTGAAAAATACAAAAATTAGCTGAGTGTGGTGGTGGGCGCCTGTAATCTCAGTTACTCAGGAGGCTGAGGCAGGAGAATTGCTTGAGCCCGGGAGGCGGAGGCTGCAGTGAGCCAAGATGGCGCCTCTGCATTCCAGCCTGGGTGACAGAACAAGACTGTCTCAAAAAGAAGAAGAAAGAAATTGGTAGATCATATGATAATTCTATTTTGAATTTTTTGAGAGACTGCCATGCTGTTTGCCATAGCAAATGCCCCATTTCACATTCCCACCAACGGGGCACAAGGGCTCCAATTTCTCCACATCCTTGCCAACATTTGCTTTTTTCTTTTGTTTTTCTTTTTTGATAATAGCTATCCTAATGGGTGTAAGGTGGTACCTCATTATGGTTTTGATTTGCTTTCTCATAATCACTGGTAATGTTGAGCATCTTTTCATGTGTTTACTGGGCATCTGTATATCTTTTTGGAGGAATGTCCAAGTTCTATTTTTTTATTTTTTTTAATTTTGAGATGGAGTTTTGCTTGTTGCCCAAGTTGGAGTGCAATGGCACGATCTTGGCTCACTGCAACCTCTGCCTCCTCGATTCAAGCATTTCTCCTGCCTCAGCCTCCCAAGTAGCTGGAATTACAGGCGTCTGCCACCACGGCTGGCTAATTTTTTTTTTTTTTTAATTTTTAGTAGAGATGGGGTTTTACCACATTGGCCAGGCTGGTCTTGAACTCCTGATCTCAGGTGATCCACCCGCCTCAGCCTCCGAAAGTGCCGGGATTACAGGCGTGAGCCACCATGCCTGGCCTATTTTTTTTTTTTTTTTTTTTGAGATGGAGTCCCACTCTGTTGCCCAGCTGGAGTAAAATGGCGCCATCTTGGCTCACTGCAACCTCTACCTCCTGGGTTCAAGTGATTCTCCTGCCTCAGCCTCCTGAGTAGCTGGGATTACAGGTGCCCGCCACCACACCTGGCTGATTGTTTATTTGTTTATTTATTTAGAGACGGGTTTCCCCATGTTGGCCAGGCTTGTCTTGAACTCCTGACCTCAGGTGATCCACTCCCTTGGCCTCCCAAAGTGCTGGGATTACAGGTGTGAGCCACCACGCCTGGCCTTGGCCTATTTTTTAAATCTGATTTTTTTGTTGTTGTTGTCATTGGTGAGTTGTAGGATTTCTATATATATTCTGGCTATTAATCCTTTATCAGATATATGATTTGCAAATATTTTCTTCTGTTTTATGTGTTCCTATTTCACTCTGTTGATTTTGTTCTTTGATACCCAGAAGTTTTAAATTTTGATGTAGTCTATCTTTTTCTTTTGCTACCTGTGTTGTTGGTGTCATGTATAAGAAATCGTTGCCAAATCCAATGTCATGAAGTATTCCTCCTATGTTTTCTTCTAAGAGTTTAAGTTTCTTCCAAGATTTATATTTAGGTCTTTGATTTATTCTTAGTTAATTTTTGTTTATGGTATAAGATAAGAGTCCAACTTCATTATTTTTCATGTGGATATCCAGCTTTTCCAACACCACTGTTGAAAAGACTGCCCATTCCCCTTTGAATGGTCTTGACACTTTTGTCAAAAATCATTAGACTGTATAAGCAATGGTTTATTTTTGGCTCTCTATTCTATTTCATTGTTCTACATGTCTGTCTTTATGCTTGCATGACACTGTTTTGGTTACTGTACAGTAAGTTTTGAAATCAGGAAATATGGGATCTCCCACGTTGTTATTTTTACAAGATTGTTTTGGCTATTTGGGGTCCCTTGGGATTGCCTATGAATTTTAGTATCTAAAAAAAATCTACAAAAATAGTCATTGAGGTTGGGACAGGGATTTCATTATATTTGTGTATCACTTTCGGTGGTATTGACACCTTAACAATATTAAGTTATCCAATCCATGAACACAGGATGTCTTCCCGTTTATTGGTGTCTTCTTTAATTTCTTTAAAATACATTTTGTAGTTTTCAGTGTGTCTTTTGCTTCCTTGGTTTACCTTATTCCTAAGTGTTTGCATCTTCCTGATGCTATGCAAATGGAATTGTTTTCTTAATTTCCTTTTCAAATTGTGCATTGTTGGTGTTTAGAAACCCAACTGATTTTTGTGTTTTGATTTTGTATCCTGCAGTTTTGTTCAATTTGTTTCTATCTTCTAACATTTTTTAAAATACAGTTTATAATAAAGTAATACCTGTCTGTATTTTTAAAATTGGAAAATACAGAAAGGAAGAAGGAAATAAACAGCCATTATCCAATCACAATTATGTTTTACATTTTGGTGTCTTTCCATTTAGCTGGTTTTCTATCCTTTTTAAAAACCGAGCTGCAAAGTAACATTTATATATCCTGTCATATGAACCTCCCTTTACTGTTTTGAGGATTTTGATGGCTATATGACATTTAATTAAGTGGACATGCTATGGTTTACATAACCATTACTTTGCAATAGGAGGACTTTTAGGTTGCTTCTAATTTATCACTGTTAACTAATACTGTAGGGAATAATTTTGTACATGAAATTTTTCTATGTTTAAAATTGTTTCCCTAATACAAGGTTTATTAATTATAAAAACAGTTCCAACAATTTAGAATTGTGAAAACCGAAAGTGTTTCCTTCTCCCCTTGTCTTTTTCTTCAGTGGTAACCACTGTTAACAATTTAGTATGTATTTTTTTTCTTAGTTTTAAAATTGTCATAAAATACACACAACATAAGTTTTACCATCTTAACCATTTTTAAGTGTACAGTTAAGTGGTGTTAAGTTGTGAATCCAAAGTATTTGAGACAGATCTCAATCAACGTGGAAAGTTTATTTTGCCAAGGTTAAACAGCCTCAGCAAGTTCCGACAATGATGCAGGATTTTTCTCCGCCCCTTTGCTGGACTCACGGCAGGGGTGCCCCATCTACTTGGCCTGCCGCACTCAGCCCTCTTGTGGGAGGGAGTACGTGAGTGGGTGAGTGAATGCGGGATCCGGCTGGCTGCTCTGGGTGCTGATACGGGAGCAAGCTCTACGCAGCACCCATGGCCAGACCAGGCATGTTGCCTTGAGGGGAATGCCGTGGCACCCAGACAAGGGTGCCTGTGACCCTGAAGCCCCAGAGGCTGTGTTCATGTGCTAATTAGCTCTTTTAGTTCTGCTGCCCACAGCCTGATGGACCACAGATTGTTAGCGGCTCAGTCGGCCCCTGGCCCTGTTGCGTGGGGTGGCTGCACTCTGCCAGCGAGGGCAAAGGGCCAGTGTGACAACCCTTCTGGGTACCCACACTTGGTGGGGCCTGAGCTCTTATCCAGCGTCCAAGAAGAATGAGGTCACACTTGCCGATTGAAGGACGGTGGGGGCAGAGAATTTTATTGAGTGATGAAAACAGCTCTCAGCGGAGAGGGGAGTTGGAGAGGGGATGGGAAGGGCCGCTCGTTGTCTTCCCCTGAAGTCAGGAGGTCTTTGTCCCGAAGTCAGGCCATTTCTTCCCTGAAGTCAGGCTGTCTCCTCCCCAAAGTCAGGCCATCTCCCCTCTACTGACTGAGTCTGGGGTCTTTAGAGACACATGATGGGGGTGGCACAGGCTGTAGGTAGTACAGGAAAAAGCAACATTTGTTTGGTTAAAAGGCATTATTCAGAAAGATCCAATTGGGAGAGAGCAGGCAAACAGGAATAGAAGGTCTCACTCTGCTCTGTGAGTTTCAGGCTGTTTTGGGCTGGAAGGTGGGGTTTCACCAGGGACCCACCCTATCTGACTATGATTTCTCTGCCTCCTGTCTCTATTAATAATGTGCCCAAGGTGGTTGGGGCATGGCCTAGTTTTATACATTTTAGGGAGACATGAGATATCAATAAAGTACATGTAAAATGTACATTGGTTCAGTCTGGAAAGGCCAGACAACTTGAAGGAGGGGGCGCTTCCAGGTTATAGGTAGATTAAAAAAATTTCTATTTGGCAATTGGTCGAAAGAGTTATGTTATTATCTAAAGACCTGGAATCAGTAGAAAGGAACCTCTGGGTTGTGATGATTAGGAGTTGTGGAGACCAAAGTTTTATCATGCAGATGAAGCTTCCAGGTACCAGGCTTCAGAGAGAACAGATTGTAAATGTTTTTCATCAGACTTCAACAGTCTGTTCTATTCAGTAATTTTGAAAGGGAAGAGGGCATAATGAGACATGTCTGCTCCCTGCCTCCCATTATGGTCAGAACCAGTCCCCCTGGTTAGCCTTGGAATGCTCTTGCCAAGAGAAGTCCATTCAGATGGTGGGGCAGGAGGTGGTTAGAATTTTATTTTTGGTTTACAAAGTACATTCACATTGTTCTGCAACCATCACCACCATCTGTCTCCAGAACACTGTTTATCTTGCTGAACTCAAACTCAATACCCATTAAACAGTAACTCCCTGGAATTCTCCCCTTCCCTCAGCCTCTGGCAACCACTATTCTACTTTCTGTTTCTATGAATTAGACTATTCTAGAAATCTCATATAAGTGGAATTATACAGCATTTCTGTTTTTGTAACTGGTTTATTTCACTTTGCAAAATGTGTTCAAAGTTCAAACTCATGTTGTAGCATGTGTCAGAATTTCTTTTTAAAGCTGAATAATATTCTATTATATGTATTTATCACATCTTGTTTACCCATTCATCTGTCACTGAACACTTGGATTTCTTCCATCTTTTCCCTATTGTGAATAATGCTGCTGTGAACATGGGTATATGGCGATCTCCTTGAGACCCTGCTTTTCAATTCTTTTTGGGTCTATACCCCAAAACAGAATTGCTTTATCATATGGTAATTCTATTTTTAACTTTTTGGGAAACTGCCATACTGTTTTCCAATGTGACTTCACCATTTTCCATTCCCACCAATAGTGCACAATGGTTTCAATTTCTACACACCCTTGCCAACACTTTTTATTTTCTGCTCATTTTTTAAATAGTAGCCATCATAATGGGTATGAAGTAGCATCTCATTATCATTTCAATTTTAATTTTTGCTTTTTTTTTTTTTTTTTGAGACAGGGTCTCTCTCCCGTTGCCCAGGCTGGAGTGCAGTGGCACAATCATAGCTCACCGCAGCCTTGACTTCCCAGGCTCAGGTGCTTTTCCTACCTCAGCCTCCTGAGTAGCTGGACTTCAGGCACGCACCACCCCACCCAGCTAATTTTTGTATTTTTGGTAGAGACCGGGTTTTACCCTGTTGCCCAGGCTGGTCTTGAACTCCTGGGCTCAAGCCATCCTCTCACTTCGGCCTCCCAAAGTACTGAGATTGTAGGTATGAGCCACCATGCCTGGCCTGATTTGCATTTTCCTAATGATTAGTGATTGTTCTAACAGTTTTTGTTTGTTTGTTTGTTTGTTTTTTAGTGGACTCTTCAGGGTTTCCTACATTAAATGTGTAATCTGAGAAGAGAGATAATTTTATGTGTTTTTTTTTCCAATTTAGATGCTTTTTATTTCTTTTTCTTACCTGCTTGCTCCAGTTAGGACTTCCAGTACTATGTTGAATAGAAGTGGCAAAAGCAGGCATCTTTATTCTTGTTTGTGATCCTAGACCTTTTGGTCTTTAACCATTTAACATGTTAGCTGTAAGCTTTACATATATGGCCTTTATTATATTGAGGTAGTTCTCTTTTATTTCTAGTTTGCTGGGTACTTTTTATCATGAAAATATGTTGAATTTTGTCAAACGTTCTTTCTGAATCAATTGAGATGATCATGTGGTTTTGTGTTTAATTCTATTTATGTGGAGAAATGCATTTTTTTTTTCGAGATGGGAGTCTCACTCTGTGACTCAGGCTGGAGTGCACTGGCGCGATCTCAATTCACTGCAACCTCCATCTCCTGGATTCAGATTCTCGTGCCTCAGCCTCTCGAGTAGCTGGGATTACAGGTGCCCGCCATCACTCCCGGCTAATTTTTGTGTTTTTAGTAGAGACAGGGTTTCACCATGTTGGCCAGGCTGGTCTCAAACTCCTGACCTCAGGTGATCCGCCCACCTTGGCCTCCCAAAGCGTTGGGATTACAGGCATGAGCCACTGCACCTGGCCGCATTCATTGTTTTTTGTATGTTAAATCATCCTTGCATTCCAGAAATAAATCCCACTTGGTCGTGGTATGTAGTAATTTTAAAGCATTGTTGAATTCTGTTGGCTAGTATTTTGTTAAGGATTTTCACTTCAGTGTTTACCAGGGATACTGGTCTGTGTGGTTTTCTTTTCTTGTAGTGTATTTGTTTGGCTTTTATATTAGGGTAATGCTGGCCTTATAGAATAAGTGGGGGGTGTCCTCTCTTCAGTCTTTTTAACAGTTTAGGAGGATTGCTGTTAATTTTTCTATAAATGTTTGGTAGAATTTACTAGTGAAACCATCTTATTCTAGGGTTTTGTTTTTTTTTTTTTTGGTTGTTGTTGAAAGGTTTTTGGCTATAGATTCAATCTCCTTATTAATTGTAGTCTATTCCAGTTTTCTGTTTCTCCAGATTCACTCTTGGTAGATTGTGTATTT